>NW_011332689.1:0-208149 GCF_000001405.40 Homo sapiens
GAATTCTTCCCCCAGATCCTCACAGGCTGCTCTGCTCAGCCCCAGGTCTCCACCACCATGGCCTGGCCTGAGGGAGGCCTTTTCTGTCCACCGCAACAGACCCAGGCCCCAACTGTCCTTCACCACAGAGCAGCTGCTGATTTCCTTCTTGCTGCTTATAATCAAAGCTCTCGTATTTATGGCTTGTTCTCTGACTTTCCCAGCAGAGCGAATTCCTTGAGGAAAGAAACGCTCCCAGCCCCCAGCACAGGCATGCTACGTGAGATGGGATCAATAAGTACTGGGAAGAATCTGGATGAATGAATGTATAAATGTGTAAGCCCCTTGATTTTCTTCATGTAGAGCGGCAGTCCCCACCCTTTTTGGCACCAGGGACTGGTTTCGTGGATGATAACTTTTCCATGTACTGGGGTAGAGGGGATGGTTTCAGGATGATTCAAGCACATTACATTCATTGTGCACTTTGTTTCTATTATTATTACATTGCAATACATAATGAAATAATTAATTATACAACCCACCATAATGTAGAATTGGTGGGAACCCACCCTGAGCTTGTTTTCCTGCTACTAGATGGTCCCATCAGGGTGATGGGAGACAGTGACAGATGATCGGGCATTAGATTCTCATAAGGAGCACACACCTAATTCCTTTGCATGCACAGTTTACAGTAGGATCTGCACTCTGGTGAGAATCATCTGACAGGAGGCGGAGCTCAGGTGGTAATGTGAGCAGTCGGGAGAGGCTATAAATACAGATGAAGCTTTGCTCGCTTACCTGCCTCTCGCCTTCTGCTGTGCAGCCCAGTTCCTAAAAGGCCACAGACTGGTACTTGTCCATGGCCCAGGGGTTGGGGAACCCTGATTTAGAGTACCAGCGTCGACTTCACCAAGAGAGCAAAGTGTGTGGCCATAGACGCTGATGTGAAAAACTCACTGGGAACACCCGGGAGGCAGCTTTTTACCAGGCTGAGGTCCAAGGCCACAGGGTGTCGTGCTTGGGCCCACCATGCACAAAGCCTTCGGTGTCACTGCAGGGCTAACGTGGGGGAGGGCACCGTCCCGGCCCAGGCCTACCCCTTCTTCTAATGTCTCCGCATCTGGAGGGCCCACGCCCCTTCCTCTTCGCGGCGGCAGGCCCCGCCCCTTTTCCCTCCTGCTCAGTGCTGAGCAGCGCCATGTTTACACGTGGCCAGAATCACCAGCTTAAATATTTTAAATAAAAAGAATGATCAGTATGTTTTTTTCTCTATCAGAAATAAAGCCGTGGCTGTTTAACACACCCTCTCCCAAACTTATCATCTGAACAACCTTCTTCCACACAATTAAGCATGCATTTCTACACCCACACACTCAGACCCTGGAATCCAGTGTAGACGTGTCTCTAGAAAACATTCGTTTCCCTGATTGTGTTTTCAGGGGCATTTGTCCTTGAAATTAGAAGGCATGGGACGTGGTATGGATGTTTCATCCCAGTGGATAGCAACTGCTTTGGGCTCAAAGCCTCATTACATTAAAAACCATCAAGGACCCCAAACAGGTTTAGTTCCCATAGGTTATATCTAGCAATGTCTATCATATAAAAAATTAAAGCTAAATATCTCAGAGATGTATTCCCTAAAAATAACAATAATAACATATTATACGTTAATGTAAATAACATGTTGGGAAAACAGCTATACTTTTTAATGTAAAATATTTAGTGAAAACAGTGAGTTGTGTTGCTTTAGAATTGCACAGATCTCCTTAAAAGTCTGGGTTAATAGATGGTAGCTGGAGTCTCATGCCTGTTTCTCCAGCCATCAGTTAAATATGTTGTTTTGGTGGAAATACATGAAGAAAATCTGACAGATAGGTCTGTTGGAATAAAACTCTTTTAATAGTTTTTTTTTTATATATATAATTGTGCATTTCTGCTTTGACTCTGTACCAACCTGTCTGACTGGTAGTGTTTTTTATTTTATTGTGGTAAAAACATTTAACAAATATTTAAGTATGCAACACAATTTTGTTAGCTATAGGCACAACATTGTACAGCAGATCAATAAAACCTACTCATCTTGCATACTTGAAACTTTAAGCCTGTTGAATAGCAACTCCCAGCTTTTGCCCCCCAGCCCCCAGCCCCTAACACCCACCATTCTACTTTCTCCCTCTAGGAATTTGAATCCTCTAGGGACCTGGTGGGAATGGAGTCATACAGTATTTGTTCTGGGGCTGGTTTATTTCCCATGGCCTGTCCCCAAGGTTCATCATGTGTGGCTGCCTATGGCAGGATTGCCTTCATCTTTAAGGATGAATGATGTTCCATTGTGTGTACACGTTTGTTTTATCCAGTCATGTGTTGATGGACATTTAGGTTGTTTGCACATCTTAGCTGTTGTGAGTAATATTGCAATGAACACAGGAGTACTAATACCTCTTTGAGTCCTGATTTCAAATCTTTTGGTTAAATTCCAGAAGAGAGATTGTTGAATCATATGGTGGTTCTATTTTTATTTTTTATTTTATTTTTCAGATGGATCTCACTCTGTCGCTCAGGCTGGAGTACAGTGGCGCGATCTCAGCTCATTGCAACCTCCACCTCCCAGGTTCAAACGGTTCTTCCCCCTCAGCCTTCCAAGTAGCTGGGATTGCAGGCATGTGCCACCATGCCCAGCTAATTTTTGTACTTTTAGTAAAGACGGGGTTCCACCGTGTTGGCCAGGCTGGTCCCCTGACCTCAGGTGATCCACCCACCTCGGCCTCCCAAAGTGCTGGGATTATAGACATGAGCCATCACACCAGGCCCTATTTTTAATTTTTGAGGAAACTCCACACTGTGTTCCACAATGGCTGTACCATTTTGCGTTCTGAACAGCAACAGTATACGAGGTTTCTGGTTGCTCCACAGCCTCACCGATGGAAACTCCACACTGTGTTCCACAATGGCTGTACCATTTTGCGTTCTGAACAACAACAGTATATGAGGTTTCTGGTTGCTCCACAGCCTCACCGATGCGCGTCTTTTTTTTTTCTTTTTTAGCAGCTGTTCTCACAGGTAGGAGGTTGGTTTTGATTTGCGTTTCCCTGATGATTAGTGACATTGAGCCTCTTCATACCTCTTGGCCATTTGTGTATCTTCTTCAGAGAAATGTCTGTTCAAGCTCTGTGCCTATTTTTTAATTGAGTTGTTGGTGTTTTTGATATTGAGTTGTAGGAGTTTCACACATATTTTGGAAATTCACCTTTTATCAGATCTATGGTTTGGAAATATTTCCTCCCATTCTGTAGGTTGCCTTTTCATCTGTTGCTTGTTAGCTGTGCAGAAGCTTTTACATTTGACGTTCCATTTGTCTACTTTTGCTTTTGTTGCCTGTGCTTTTGGTATATTCATGAAATCATTTCCAAGACTAATGCCAGAAAGCCTTTCCTATATGTTTTTTTCTAGAAGATTTATAGTTTCTGGTCCAAAAGCCCAGAAATAAATCCACAGTATATGGTTGACTGATCTACAAGAGTGCCAAAAATACATATAGGGAAAGAATATTCTCTTGGGAAAACTGGATATGCACATGCAAAATAATAAAATTGGACCCTTATGCTATACACAAAAATTGGTAGTTTCTTGAAGATTTGTTACAATGTAGAGTCTGAATCCTGTTAATGAACGCTTTCATCTCTGTTACATTAAAATGCATAGCCCTATCATTAACTTTGAATGGATCTTTTACTTTGCATGATTTTATAACATCCTATCTTGGTCATTTGGAAAATAATGACTCACTGAGTTATACAGTGTTTTCAAATGTAGACACGTTTCATTATTCAGTATCCAAAAAAATCATATTTGCTAATATCACCACCCATCTCACCAGGGAAGTCTTTAAGTAATGGGAAGCTATGAAGACGTTGGTGGTGAATACATGCTTTCCAAAATTTTAATTTACACTCCAGTTCACATTTTAGCATTGGCAACAAATACTGTCAATGGTTTTCTTTGAAAAGGCTGGTTCACTTCATTTGCTTTCAAGAAATCTGCCAAAGACTGAACTCTGAATAGTTTGTAAGTCATTCTTTCAAGTAAAAACATTATTCCATGAAAAAAGTGGGTAGTGGAGCTCTTAGTTCAGTCACATGGCGCTTTTTCTCAAGAGAACCATTGTTCTTCAGCTTGCAGACGGGCTTTGTGTGTACTTTCTATTTAGTTAGAATATTAAAATGGCATGTGCCTCAAGCATTGAGCTTTAATAACATAAATAATTTTTCTCCTTCACCCAGAACATTCTTAAGTAACACGGAGGTTATGTTCTTTGTCCCTCCCCGTGAGTGCCTGGCAGTGACGCATGCAGTGACTGCTGTGTGGTGTGGCTCCGGCTTTGGTTCCAGGCCCAGCACTGAGGCTGTTTGGTACCATTAATGCGAACGTCAATATAGTGAAGAAAACAGTGGCCTCCTAGCATTATGAAAAGAGTTTCGACCTCAGAGACTTCTGAGAAAGTTTCAGGGACCCCCAGGGGCCTGACCACAGTTTGAAAAATATTGATTTAGCCAAAACATCATAGAATCAGTCTCATGTCTTTATTTCCTTTTTCCTTTTTATCATCTAATTTTTTTAACACAATACAATTTAAAGTAAGTTTACTGACGAATATTTTGCATCAAATGATAGAAGTTAAACATTGGTGATTTTTCACATTAACTGCAGTTTTATGATTTATGTATTTAACTGAACTAAGTTTCCAAAGCATCTGAAATTAACTATAATTTACGCAACTTTTTGGACATCTAAAAATAAAAAATGAATATATATTTAACATCCCTCATCTCAAAATCTAAAATCTGAAATGCTCCAAAATTTGAAACTTTTTTTTTTTTTTTTTGAGATGGAGTCTCGCTCTGTTGCCCAGGCTGGAGTGCAGCGGTGCAATTTTGGCTCATTGCAACCTCTGCCTCCTGGGTTCACGCCATTCTCCTGCCTCAGCCTCCTGAGTAACTGGGACTACAGGCGCCTGCCACCACGCCCGGCTAATTTTTGGTATTTTTAGTAGAGTCAGGTTTTCACTGTGTTAGCCAGGATGGTCTCGATCTCCTGACCTCGTGATCCGCCCACCTCAGCCTCCCAAAGTGCTGGGATTACAGGCGTGAGCCACCGCGCCCAGCCAATTTGAAACTTTTTGAGCACTGACATGACACCACAATTAGAAAATTCTACGCACAAGCACTGAACACGAACTTTGTTTCATACACGAAATTATTAAACATATTGGACAAAATTACCTTCCAACTATCTGTATAAGGTGTCTATAAAGCATAAATAAATTTTGTGTTTAGACTTCAGTCTCATCTCCAAGCTATCTCATTATGTAAAAGAAAAATTTCAAATTCTTAAAAAACCAAAACCCGAAACATTTCTCATCCCAAGCATTTTTGATAAGGGAGGTTCCACCTTTCTTTCATGTGCATGCATGAGCCCAACAAGCAGCCTGGGAAATAAAATGTGGAATCCATGTCTGCAGCCACCCATGTACCGCTCCTGGTCCTATTCCACTTCACACCCCCTGCCAAGAGAGGATCACCATCCTGACTTGGGTGTTTATCCTCACCCTGAGTTTCTAACCACTTTCATTATGAATGCATGTATTCCTCAACAAAATGTAATATTGCTAGGAATAGTTTTATAAAATTCTTCCTGTGCACTTAATGTTTCTCTAAGCTTCTAACATATGCCCAGGAGCAAATTGTTCCTCACCAGGTAGAGGCATCTTCAAATTTACTAGACACTGGCAATTTGTTATACAAAGTAATTACGTCAATCTATATTCCCACCAGCAGTATATAAAAGTTTTGTTTTCTCTACATCCTCTGCAGCACTTAAGTGATGAGACTTAAATTTCTGTTGCTTTTTGTGGGCAGTTTTGGAGTTTTAGTGTAGTTTAATATGGATTTATCTGACCTTTAGTGAGATTGATCATATTTTCAAGTTTATTTACCATTGGAAATTTTCCCTCCATAAATTGCCCTTCTGAATCCTTGAAAATTTTTTCTGTTGTTTATTATTTTGTACTTTTTGTAGGAATTCTTGACATATGTTAGATTTTAACCCTTCAGCCATTTTGCGTGACACAGACATCTTCCATGTGGTGGTGTTTTAGTAAATTTGTTGTGATGTCCTTTCGTGTACAATCTGAACTATAGATACAATCACATTTATCATTTTTGTCCTTTGTGTTGAACCTCTGTTGTGTTAGTACTTCCTTAATAAATCTTTCCCTACTCTGTGGTCACAAAATATTTATTTTTTTGAATAACAGTTTTAAAAATGTACTTTCCACAGTTATGTTTAATCCAGCCACATTTTATCTTTGGGGATTATGCAAGCAGAGATGTAATTTTATTTTTCTTTTCCACATGGATAGCAAACTTCTCAGCATCATTTATTCAATTATTTCCCCACTGACCTGCAATGCTATCCCTATCTTATATCAGGCCTCACATATTTGGAGAACTCTTCCTGAAAAGAATGTGGATTCTGTTGCTGGTGGGTGGGGTGCTTGCTAAGTTCTGTGGGTCAAGTTGTTTGATACTGCTCTCCAACTTCTCTGTATCCTCAATGACTTTTTGTCTACTTCTTCTACCCTTAGGCGAGAGGAACACTGATCTCTCCAATAGTATTAGTAGATTTATTTGATGTTTTAGTTCTACAAGCTTTTGTTTCCTACATTTAAGTTTGTTATATCCTGTTGATGAATTAACCATTTTATCATTAGAAAATGTTTCTTTGTATTCCTGGTAATAGTCCTTGTCCCGAAGTCAACTTTGATATAAATGTTCCCACTTTAGTTTTCTTATGATTAGAGTTTACATAGTATATCTCTTTTAGGTCTGTTTACCATTGATCTATCTGTGTATTTATATTTAAAATGCATGCCTTTATCTTTTGTTTTTTTGAGATGAGGTCTCACTATGTTGCCTAGGCTGGTCTTGAACTCCTGGGCTCAAGTGATCGCTCAGCCTCACAAAGTGCTGGGATCACAAAGTTCGTGAGCCACCACTCCTGGCCTGAAGTACGCATCTTATAGACAGCTTGTTGTTGGGTTGTGTTCTTTTTATCCAGTCTGACAGTTTACTCCTTTTATTTGAAGTGTTTAGACCATTTATATTTATTGTAATTGTTAAATTTACTTTTACTGATATTTTAACCCCCATAATATAGTTCTATTATTTTTGCATTAAACAGCCAATTATCTTTTAAATAATTTTAAAAACAAAAAAAGTATTTTATATTTACCTACAACATTTCCATTTCAGGTGCCCATCATTTCTCTGTGTAGACACAAGTATTTATACTAGTATCTGAGCTTTTTCCAGGCACTTCCACACATGTTGCATAATTTTGCTTCTGCAACAGTCGTAGGCACAGGACACTATCTCCAGTTTACAGAAGAGGCAGTTGAGGCTCAGAACAATTACAGGAGTTGCCTAGTCTCTAGAAAGATCTAGGATTGCAATCCAGGTCTGTTTGTCCATTAATCACTGTTTGCATTCCTAGTGAGACTTATCAGAGATGAGGAAAAGAAGAAAGTGCCTTCCATCAAGGAAGAAACCACATGCCTTTGTAGGCCAGAGTGCAGTTATCCCTTAGAAAGCTGTGCTGGGGAAGAGAGCAGAGGCTCTTGGCATGGTTGAAGTGTCTGGAGAGATGAAAGAGGGAATAGTTCATCCGGGAAGAGTCAGAGGACCCAAGCCAGGGCAGACTGCACAGCAAAGGACAGCCAGAAACAAAGCCCACCTCTCACCCAGACCAAGGAACTGGCAAAGTGAGAAGAGAGTTAGGTGACATATTGCAGAGTCCATGGTACTCTCTGCTCAAGTTTAGAGGGGTTGGCAGGGTAGAAGGGAGATGAGAGGAGGTATAGACAAGTGTGGGTGCAAAGGAAGGGGTTTGTTATTCCCCCACCTTAGACTGGAAAATTCACTGACTGGCCAGGCCCCATTCCACAGTTCCCCTCGGCACCCACTGCCGCTATCTGCTCTGAGGCCCCTGCGGGGCAGTTCTGAGAACCTGGGCTCCAAGGATAGGCTCTGCCTGCACACCAGCCTAACATCCTGACGAATGACTTCCCCTCCCTGCACCTCTGCTTCTTCCTCCCACCCAACATCCCCTTTCTCCCTAGAAAGATGTTGTAGGTTATTTAGGACCCGGAGAACTGAACATAGACCCCATGGGGTACCGACAACAGGGGAGACCCTGATCCAAGTGCCAGCCTGTCCATGGGCAAGTGTGAGTTTGAGGTGACTCCCTTCACCTCCAGGAGCGTCTGTCTCCTCAGTGCTGGAATGCAGATAGGGAGAAAACCCAGTTCAGGAGCTGTCCTAGACTAGAAGAGAGGACCTGCATGCAGATTCCATTTGCATTTCTAAGGCTCTTTCAACCCTTACTTCAAATGGCAGGACCATGACAGGAGGCATGACAATCCCCTTGTGTTTTGAGGCAGCGAGAGGGGACACAATCTGAAGGCATCTCCGAAGACTTGGCCACCCAGACCCAGGTGTCTGGGACAGCAGCCATTTAATCTAGCTTTTATTTTTATTTTTATTTATTTATTTATTTTTGAGAAGGAGTTTTGCTTTTGTTGCCCAGGCTGGAGTGCAATGGCCTGATCTTGGCTCACCACAACCTCTGTCTCCCGGGTTCAAGCGATTCTCATCCTCCTCTGCCTCCCGAGTAGCTGGGTTTACAGGCATGCACCACCACGCCTGGCTAATTTTGTATTTTTAGTAGAGTTGGGGTTTCTCCATGTTGGTCAGGCTGGTCTCGAACTCCGAATCTCAGGTGATCCAACCACCTCGGCCCCTCAAAGTGCTGGGATTACAGGCATGAGCCACCGTGCCCATCGAATCTAGCTTTTATTAAAGACAATAGCAAATTTATGATCTGATGGTATGTAGGTTAAGAACCAGAACAGTAGGAGAAAAAGGGCCACACAGTTGACTCTGTGGATGCGATTTCCCAGACTCATTCATGCCCCTGAGACACAGACCCTCTGGTGGGAATCCATTTGCTTAGAGGAAGGCTGTGACCGTAAGAGCTTTTCTGGGAAGGTGCTAATGGGAGGAGGAAGATTCTGGGGACCACTTGATGAGGCCTGGGGGATTCACATCTGGGTGGGTTTCAGGGTGGAGCTCCTGGCTGCACCATCAGAACCCTGAGTGTGGGGAGGGGATGCAAATGTGGGTGATCAAGGGGGCTCTTTTGTTGTTGTTAATTAGAAAAAAACTATGCACCCTGCAGACCCTGGGGCTGGCTGCTCATATGAAAGGGATACCACAGTGGGCTGTGTAAAGAGGGGACCCCTGATGCCGACCACAGCTCCATCCTCCTCCTCTGAGCTTCTCCTCCCTCTCTACCCCTCCTTTCTGCCCCCCTTTCTCTCTGTTTTCTTCCCTCTCTCCCTCCCTCCTCCTCTGTCTCCCCCTCTTTCTCTCTCTCTTTTTCCCTAAGGCCTTGTTAGAGTTGAACAGCACTCTTTTCCCACGAAGGGTCGGTCATTCTAGCTCTTCTAAAACGCTAACTCAGCTGGAACTTCGGAACTTTTGGGATCTCTTCCTCCAAGATTCTCTCTTTGCCCTCTGACCTACCTCCAGGGCTGCCAAAAGCAGCTTCTGGCTGGCGAAGTGTGGAATTCAAGGACTTCAAGTTGGCCAGTCTGGATCTGACCCAGACTCAGCAGAGACAGGCGTGGGAAGGGGGACGGGTCATCCTACATGAAAAACTCAGAGCTGGGAATCCAGGTCAGAGGGAGCCAGAGGGCACTCTGGAGGAGGAAGGTGTTTAAAACACTGAAAGTCAGAGAGGGGAAGTGTGCTCCGTCTCCTGGTGTGGAGCTAATCCTCTTTATTCTTCCCTGCTCCCCTCCCTACCTCTCTCCCTTCCCTGCCTTTCTTTTCCCTTCCCTTCCCTGCCTTTCTTTTGCCTTGCCTTGCCTTGCCCTGCCCTGCCCTGCCTTGCCCTGCCCTGCCCTGCCCTGCCCTGCCCTGCCTTGCCCTGCCCTGCCCTGCCCTGCCTTGCCTTGCCCTGCCTTGCCTTGCCCTGCCCTGCCCTACCCTGCCCTGCCCTGCCCTGCCCTGCTTTGCCCTGCCCTGCTCTGCCTTGCCCTGCCTTGCCCTGCCCTGCCTTGCCCTGCCCTGCCCTGCCCTGCCCTTCCCTGCCTTGCCCTGCCCTTCCCTGCCTTGCCCTGCCTTGCCCTGCCCTTCCCTGCCCTGCCCTGCCCTGCCCTGCCTTGCCCTGCCCTGCCCTGCCTTGCCCTGCCCTGCCCTGCCTTGCCCTGCCCTGCCCTGCCTTGCCTTGCCCTGCCTTGCCCTGCCCTGCCCTGCCCTGCTTTGCCCTGCCCTGCCCTGCCTTGCCCTGCCTTTCCCTGCCCTGCCCTGCCCTGCTCTGCCCTTCCCTGCCTTGCCCTGCCCTTCCCTGCCTTGCCCTGCCCTTCCCTGCCCTGCCCTGCCCTTCCCTGCCTTGCCCTGCCCTGCCCTGCCTTGCCTTGCCCTGCCTTGCCCTGCCCTGCCTTGCCCTGCCCTGCCCTGCCCTGCCCTACCCTGCCCTGCCCTGCCCTGCCCTGCCCTGCTTTGCCCTGCCCTGCCTTGCCCTGCCTTGCCCTGCCCTGCCCTGCTCTGCCCTTCCCTGCCTTGCCCTGCCTTGCCCTGCCCTACCCTTCCCTGCCTTGCCCTGCCTTGCCCTGCCCTGCCCTGCCCTGCCTTGCCCTGCCCTTCCCTGCCTTGCCCTGCCTTGCCCTGCCCTGCCCTGCCCTGCCCTTCCCTGCCTTGCCCTGCCCTGCCCTGCCTTGCCCTGCCTTGCCCTGCCCTTCCCTGCCTTGCCCTGCCTTGCCCTGCCCTGCCCTGGGGAAGGGCATAGGAAGCTCCATAGGAAGCTAAAAGCCAATCCATTCTCACAGAGTTTTAGTTTCTAGCTGAGGTCTCCACTGAAAACAACCGAGTTCTTTTCAATGTGTTTTCTTTTTATGCCATGGGGAGCCTTAGATCTGCTTCTTTCAACTCACAGAGACTTTCTGATGAATAGGACCAGTTAATCATGGTTTCCTTATAGCAGCTTCATTGAGATATGTTCATATATCGTACAATTCACTCACGTAAAGTATCCAATTCAGTGGTTTTAGTACATTTACTAATGCACTAATTTATATATACTAATATGTAATATGTATTATTAATATATGTTATATACTAATATATATTATTTTATGTTATAAATAGATAAAAATATATACTAATATATATGTACTTATATATACATCAATATATAATGTATTATTTTATACTAACGTATATTATATATACTAGTATATAATCTATATTATTTTATATGTTATAAATATATAATAAAATATATAAATATTTTATGCATATATTAATATATAATATATACTAACATGCTAATTTATATATACTTATATATAATTTATATAGTATATAATATATAAATGTATATAATACATAATTTATATATTTATATATTAATAGTTTATATATTAGTATATATACTAATTTTATATACTAATAAATAAATTATATAATATATAAATTATATATTATAGTACATAATATATATTATATAGTTAAATAACTATGTAACTATAATATATAACTATATATGATATACAGTTATATATAATATAAATTTTACATACAGTATATAAATTATATACTATACATTTATATACATATGGTATATAAATTATATACTATACATTTATATACATATGGTATATAAATTGTATACTATATAATGTGTATTAGTATATATACTAATATATACTAAATTAGCATATTAGTAGTATATATTACTATATATTATAGTAACATATATATTAGCATATTTAGAGAGTTGTACAATTATCACCACGGTCAATTCTAGAACATTTTCACATGCTCAGAGGACCCCTGTGCCCATGAGTAGTAACTTGCCATTTCCCCTAACTCCCCGGCTCAGCCACTAAGTTACTTTCTGTCTCTATATGGTATGTGGTCCTCTGTGACCGGAAGCTTTCATTTAAAATAATGTTTTCAAGATCTATCCCTGTTACCGTGTGCACAACACTTGAGTGGTTGTTCTTTTTATGTATACACCACATTTAATGTGTCCATTCATAAGTTGACGGGCATGTGGGTTGCTTCCACTTTCTGGCTCTGCTGAACAGTGTTGCTATGAATATTCATGTGCAGGCTTCTGTGGACCTGTTTTCCTTTCTCTTGGGTATATATCTAGGTGTGGAATTGCTATGCTGTATAGTAGCTCTAGGCTTAACCATCTGAGAAACCGCTGAGCTATTTTCCAACATGGCTGCACCATTTTACATTTCCCCTATCGGTGGATGAAGGTTCCAATTTATTCACATCCTTGCCAATAGTTATTATTATCCATCTCTTCCATTACAGGTATCCTAGTGGGTATGAAGTGGTGTCTTCCTAGTTTTGATTTGCACGTCTCAGGTTACTCTTGCACATTTGTGTATCTTCTTTGAAGAAAAGTGTATCAATTCTTTGCACATTTTTTATTTGAGTTATTTGTCTTTTTATTACTGAGTTACAAAAGTTCTTTATATATTCTAGATGCAAGTCCTCTATGCAAAGTATGATTTGCAAATATTTTCTCCTATTCTGTGCGTTGTCTTTTTATTTTTTTGATTCACAAAATTTCTTGAAGAACAAAAATTTTACATTTTGTTGGAGTCCAATTTATCTATGCTATCTTTTGTTGTTTATGTACTGTCAATAGCTGAGATTTTGAGAAGGATTGCATTAGAGCTGTAGATCAATTTGGGGAATATTGCCATTGTATCAGTTAGTGTTCCACCAGAGAAAGAATCAGCAGAATGTTTGTTTATTTGCAGGAATTAGCTTAGCAGTTTTGAAGGCTGGCTAGGCAAGTTTGAAATCCATAGAGTAGGTTGCCAATCACAAGAGGCTAGGACTTCTGGGCACAAGCAGAAGCTGCTGTCCATAGGCAAAAGTTTTTCTTCTTCAGAGAACCTTCAATTTTCCTGTCAAAGCTTTTCAACTGATCAGATCAGGTCTATTCATATTATCTAGTGTATGCTCCATTACTTAAAGTCAACTGACTATGGAACTCAGTCACATCTAAAATGCCTTCACAGCAACATCAAGGTTAGTATTTAATTGAATATCTAGGGACTGTAGGCTAGCTAAGTTGACATGTAAGACTAACCACCCCTGTCATTTTGCCAATAATATGTCTTCTGATCCATGAACATGGTATATCTTTCCATTTATTTGAATGTTTTTCATTTCTTTAAACAGTTTTGTAATATTCAGATTACAGAGTATGTGAGAGTATAAGTTTGGTACTTCTTTGATAAATTTCTTCCTAAGTATATATTCTTTTTTATAATATTTTAAATGGATTTGTTTTGTTAATTCTATTTTCAGATTGTTTATTGCTGGTGTCTACAATTGATTTTTGTAAATTGATATTTTATTCTCCAGCCTCACTGTGATATTAGTTCTAACAGTTTTTTGTAGATTCCTTAGGATTTTCTATATATTATGCCATTCTTAAATGTGTTTGCAATATATTAATTTTTGAAGAACATGTAAACATAATCCAAACCATTATGCCTTTCTCATTATGTCTTAGTTTAGCATTACAAAAAATAAAGTAAAATAGATCACTCTTTACTAATAATTTTATTTTGTTTTAAATGAAAATTCACAATATGGTATTAAAATATAAGGTAATCTAAGTACCTAGGCACATAATAAATATATTATTTATTCAGTTATCAACTTCTATTAGCTACTGCTCAATCTAATTCATTATCTTTTTTCTTTTTCTTTGTTTAGGGGAAAGCTGCCACTTCTGCAAATTGTCCTCCTCTTAAGACAGTCTCTTTTGTGACTGCCTTCTGTTCATCTCAAAGAAAGAGCCCAGCACACGGCACCTTGTTTTCACAGGCAGAATCTGCTTCTGTGAGTTTTTTGGGTTTCCTTGGCCTCCTACAAGCCAGTGTGTGTGAGTTCGCATCTCTTATCCCTACATGGTCAATAGTCCTTGAAGGCATCTCCTTGATGTTTTCTGCTCCTTTGCTTGTGTTCCCTTTCCTCCTCCATTGTGACTGCTCTGTAGGACCTTCCTCCTGTCCTGGAGCTCCTGGGGCTCACACCTGTGACCTCTCACCACGGCCACAGCTCCAGGTGATGCCCACATGCCAGGGGCCCACCTGGACCTCCAGCTCAGGTGCTTCCTCTGAGCTCTAGACCAGAACAGCCAAATGACCTGGACATATCTTCCTGAATGTCTAAAAGGCATTGCAGACTCACTTTGCCCAAACCCAACTTGCAAACTTCTCCTCCTAACCTCCCCGACCCCATCCAGTCTGTTATACAAGCAGAAGCCTGGGGAGGTCATTCAGTGCCCCTCCTCCTCCCCCTTCAGTTTCATTCAACCTTCAGGCCTCCCCATTGTCCTGTGATAGCTCACAGTCTGCTGCCTCCTGCCAGCCCCTCCTCCTCCTTTGTCCCTGGCCACCAACACCCAGCCTGGGTGATAGCATTGGCGTCCTCACTAGGCTCCTGTGGCCCTGTCACCGACCCCAAATCTGCTCCCTACACTTCATAGTGGACTTTCAATCCACAGTGGATCCCATCACCCCCTTCTCTGGGTGGAGACACAAATCTGTGCACGGCCATCTGGGCTGGCCTGGGCCCAGCCTCACTCCCTGGCCCATGTCATACATTCCTCTGTCTGCCCTCTGCCCTCCGGCCTCCCATCCTCCTCTTTTCTCCTCAGAATCTGTGTCCTGCACCTGGGAGGCCCTTGGTTAGCTTATCCTCCTCTGCATGTTCCCCATGTCCTCCAGGGATACCATTTTCTCAAGTCAGTTCCCGTTCCAGCCCTCCTGGCCCCATAGCTTCTGCTTCAAACCATTTCCTACAATGTGACTGCAGCAAGTTGGTGAATGTGAAGATACCCAGGCTTGAATCTGATGAGTGTGAGACCCCCAGCCAATGCAGCACACCAAGGGTGTAGCCACTCAGGATAGAAGAGGTGACAACGGCATCTGGGAGACATCTGTCAAGAGGTCTCAAGGCCAAGGTGTGCACTGGCTCTTGCCCCACAGCAGAGTGAGGGGTGCCCCCCCCAAGACCTGACAAGGATTAGTGTCTACCTATCCACAGTGTGTGGCGCCATGGTTGGCAGTGGGGGTAGGGGGCACAAAGTCCTGCCAGGAAAGCACTGGTGAGAGCTCAGGCGAGGGGCCGCTGGCTTGAGACAGCTCCTCTGTGTGTGCAGAGCACACATGTGGGTGCATCCCACTAAGTTCCAGAAGGAAGGGAGAGCCTCTGCAGCCACCACCGAGCCTGCCTGGGGTTGCAGGGTGCTGTGCAGGGTGGGATTCTCCCACATTAAGAGGGAGGGGTGCCCAGTGTCCAGCCAAAGCAGGGGTGCAGCCTGGGCCACGAGCCTCTGTCGAGGTCCCTGCATGGTGCTCCGGAGAACCTGAGTGGGGCTGCAAACTGCACCCATGTCACTCAGCACATGGAGCTGAGAGCCAGAGGCAACCATGAGTGGGTCATGCACTTCCCTGCCACTGCTCTAACAAATGCCCAGAACCCAATGGCTTAGAAGTACAGCAATTTATTCTCTTACCTTTCTAGAGGCAAGAAATTTGAAATGGGACTCACAGGGCTAAAGTCAAGGTGGCTCCTTCTGAAGGCATCCGTGGGGAATCCGCTCCTTTCCTCTTTCCACTTCTTTCTGGCAGCTTCTGCACTTCTGGGCTTGTGGCCACTTCACTCAGGTCCTTGCTCAAGTCACAGGTGGCTGCTCCCCTCTGACCTCTGCCTCCCTCTGGTTCTTTTAATTGGAGATGGTGTTAGAAACCAAGATCTGAACACTGGGTGTGCTCACTGCTACTGCAGTGTCATTGCTCTTGGTCCTCTCAGCAGACAGAGCAAAGGGCAGTGGGCATCTCCAGTTGTCTTGGGGGAAGCAGCTGCCTTGTCCCTAGAAATTGAATAAATGTGATGACATGACAAAACACCTGCAGAACCCCAGGTACGTGGTAGGTGATCACAGAGGGAAGAGTGTTATCGGAGACAAGCCCCAGGAATAACTGAGGGTAAATCAGCCTAACATGGAAGTTAGAAAATATTCTGAGTGAGCAAAAATTAAGAAGGTGCTATTTCTCAGCCTTCTGGCATTGTCTGTATTTGCACGTGTGTGTGTGTGTGAATGTGTCTGGGAATGTACTGTTGTACTATCTGCGAGGTGCTGATATGTCAAGAACATTTCCCCATTTCTTGAACCCTTCACACGATTTTTAATGGCCGTATACTAGTCCATGGAATTGGTACAGCTGGATTTAACTGTCTCTTGATGGGGCATTTAAGCTCTTCCCAGATTTGGTTGTGATTGTTGTGGGTGGTTGTTTTGGCCATTCTGCCTTAGACCCTGAGGACTTTATTGTACTAAAGTTGTGTCTGCTTCTTTGGTTATTTTCTCAGCACATATTTCTAAAAACAGCAATGCCAGGTCAAAAACCTGTACCTTGTCTCTGCCCTTGGTTTCTGTGGCCAAGTTTCTCTTGGGAAGCTGTGTCCGTTTCCCTGTCTACACAGGGCAGGAGGGTTCCCACTTCAGTGCTGCTTCACGAGCAGGAATTCAGTCTTCCAGTTATTTCTAGCAATGGAATAGATTTAAAAAGTATTATTCATTTTTGTGTGTTACTTTGTGTTTATTTAACTTTTCGTGACATTAAAATTGCTTTGATATGTTTAGGGCCGCTTATTCATGTCCTCTGCTCTTTTACTGTTGGGACCTTTTTTCTTACTGCTTTACAAAAGGGAATCAATGTTAAAGGTACAGAAATAAGAAATTTGAGAAAATATCTAGGCTGAATGTTCACATATATTAAATGTTTTTGAAACAAGGCAAGAAAGAAGACCATGTAATACAAAAAAAAATTGCCTTCCCATTAACTCATTCCCCTTTCATTTCAAAGTCAGGCAGGAAGTAAATGAAATAAAGACAAGTTAAAGAAAAAGAGCAGTGACAGCATTAACATCTGTATCCGACATGGTCAGGTTCAATGCAGAGGAAGATGGTGTCAGCGATGGAGACCAGGCTTCCCAAGATCTCATGGCAAAGAACTAGTTTCTTCCTCCGATCTGCTGAGGACCAACACTTTTGCAAAATTCAGTAGAAATGGTACAACAAAGTTGAATTGCTACAACAAAGTTTCTAAACAGTGTACATTATTAAACTTAACTCATGGCAGGCCCCAACAGGTGGTCTGTGGCCCGGGCCAGCCTGTGGACCGCACTCCGTTGCTTTGGAGGAAAATGTGAGATGCTCCCTTGAGCTCAGAGTAGGGGAGACCCTGGACCCAGAATTCAGAGCACTGGGGTGGCTCAGAACCCAGAATGCAGAGCAGGGGGGTGGTCCTGGATCCAGAACACAGATCCGGGCCTGTAGATGCAGATGACAATGCCAGGGCTTCCAAAGTAGACCCACTGCAGAGACACTAACAACATGGTGGGAATGGGGTGGCGGCCTCAAAAGAGAATTCATACTGGATGCTTTTGGGACGTCTGGTCAACCAAACCTAAGCGCTCTCCTTCACATCCCAGCCCAAAATACCTTCCAGGTGAATTACCGAGATCACTGTGAAAATGGGGACATGCATCAACTAGAAGTAACTACAGGCAAGTTCCTCATCTCATCCTATTGTTGAAAAACTAATAAGAAAATAATGAATAAGTTTGACTGCATAAACACAAAAATCCTGCATATCACAACACAAGAAACACAAAGAAAGGTAAATCAATGAAGAAAATCTCCCATCAGACCCTCCAAGGTGCAAGCAAGCAGGATGCTCTAAGGATGCTGGGCGGCATGCTTTCACTTAAAAGGTCAGAATCTAGGCTGGGCGCGGTGGCTCACGCCTGTAATCCCAGCACTTTGGGAGGCCGAGGCAGGCAGATATCTGAGGTCAGGAGTTTGAGATCAGCCTGGCCAACGTGGTGAAACCCCATCTCTACTAAAAATACAAAAATGAGCCGGGTGTGGTGGCACGCACCTGTAATCACAGCTACTCAGAAGGCTGAGGAAGGAGAATCGCTTGAACCCCAGAGGCGGAGATTGCAGTGAGCCGAGATCATGCCATTGTACTCCAACCTAAAAAAAAAAAAAGTCAGAATCTAAGTGTCGGCCCGCAGGGGCAGGGGCAGCCACTCAGACATGCTCCTGTGCTCCCTGCTGCTGGTCTCCCCCAGGTCGTTGTCAGGCTCACTCAGCCACTGCCCCTCCCCTGCCAGCCCAGAAGAGAGACTATGCCTGGCGCCTGGTCAGACAGTGTAGCCCCCGTGGACCCACCAGCAGCCCCTCTCTCCCTTCCCGGCGTCAGTTTCTCCATGGTACTGGTTCTGAGGCAACACTGTTGCTTTGCTCATCTGCGGGTTTGCTGCCTGCCTCTCCCCTAGATGTGGAGCTGCCGGGGCAGTCTGCTTGCACTGCCGTGAACAGTGCTTCCCTGGTCCTGGGGGTGCCCAGCGCAGAGTGTGTTTGTTGGGGACACAAGCAGCACCTGAGCACTCATCTGGGGTGCAGGCCTATATTGGGTCACAGCTCACAGTCAGGAGCACTGGCTGTCCTGCATCTTACTCTGAAAGGAGCTGCAGGGCCGTGGAATCAAAAGGCTGGGGAAGAGTCGGCCTCCGTAATGCCAGCCGGCTCCGGCCTCTGCATTCCCTTCCCTGCACTCGCCCAGCATCAGCCCCGCAATCCTCCCACAGAGATTTTTCACCAGGTTTCCTAGCCCTGGAAGCCAGATCCAGGAGGCCACAGCAGAGCAGGTCCCCGAGAATGGTCCTCAGGTTGGCCCTTCTGCTCCCCTGGACCAGGGGCGAAGGCCCCGCTGGGCTGGCTTTTTGCAGGTGTTTCGTATTCACCTTGGCGGGCATTCTGGGTACGGGACACATTTGCTCACATGCACAGTTTGCCTGCTGTTGTGTTGCCGGACAGAGGGTGGTGCCTGCTGGCCGTGCCGTCTCTCCACAGGGAGTGACCACAGAGCTGGTGCTGGGGACCAGGCAGGCCGAGTCTAGATGCTGCTCTCCCACCTTGAGATTGTGTGTGTGTGTGTGCAGATGTGTGTGAGAGTGTGTATATGTGTGTATTTCTGTATGCATGTATGTGTATATGTGTGAGAGGGTGTTTGTGTGTGTGTGTTTCTGTGTGCCTGTGTGTATATGTGTGTGAGAGTGCGTGTATATGCGTGTGTATGTTGGTTCAGTGTGCATGTGTGTATGTATGTGAGTGTGTGTGTATGTGTGTGTTTGTGTGTGCATATGTGTGAGGGTGTGCGTGTGTGGGGGGATAACAGAAAACATTTGGAAAGTGAGGGAAAAATCGTAAGAGTAGAAACATTTTTCTTAAAAGCAAGAGCAGCACAGACACCAAAGCCGAGAGGGAATGGGTGTTGCTCAAAGGGGTCACTGGGCACAAATGTGAGCCCATCTTATGTTATTCTCTTGGGACATGGGGACCTGAACTGGGGGAGTTCCCGGGGACTCTCAGTGCTCCCTGCCCCAGTTACTACCTGGCCCTGCAATGTTGGAATTTGTGAACAGGGTTTCAGTGAGGAGCAAACAACCAGTGTGAGATCTAAAACCCTCTGGGCTGGACGACCACTACGGGAGAGCTTGTTGAAGAAGGAGGTTCCAGCCTCTCAAGGGCCTTAGAACACAGGCCCTGCAAAGCCTGGCAAACCTAGAGGACCCTGTGTCTGGCTTTCCTGAAAGGATCACAGTTTCGTAAGCAAAGAGCTGACATTCACTGGCCAAGGGCTCACTGTCGTTCCTGTGAATGTCACGTCTAATTCCATGATCCGTCATGCGGAAGGTTTTGACCCCGGCCAGCGGTTCCTCCAGTGACGCTGAACTTGACCAGATGTGAGTGGGCACTCCGCCCACTTCCCTGAAAACACATCAGATCAAATTTCACAGCCCCGCTGTTACTTGTTAATTCTGTTTTTGATTTGTGGCTCTTATTTGACTTTCAGATGAACTTAATAATTGCTTTAAAAGGAGAATTGGAAACACCACACAAGTGGCTTTGTGTTGCTCCAGGCCATCCCAGGCTTTGGAGTTCTTCTTTCCAGAGCCACGGGTGTGTTTTGAATCACAGCTGCCTGCCTGGCCTGCCAAGTGGTGGTTCTGAGCTGAGAGAGAGACCTTCTCTCTCACTTTCTTGGTGCCACATAAGCAGGGCAGCTGCTCTGCAAGAAAGGGGCACAGCCGTTCACAGTCACACCGAAGTGTTTCTGGCAGCACGTGAACTTGACATCCCTGGGCCCAGTGTCTTGCTTTCTGGGATTTTTTTTCTTTTCAGGGAGAAGGAGACGCAGGCACAGCCCACATCCTCAAGCCCACATCCTGGCTCTTCCACACCAGGCACCTGAGAAGTTCAACTCACACCCAAGTTCCACCTGAGCTGGGCTGGTGGTCAGGGCCTGGAGTGAGGAACGGGCTCTGAGTCAGAACTCATGGGTTCCCCACATGCCCCTGACTCGTCCCAGGTGCCCTATGCTGTCTGAACCTCAGTTTCCTCATCTGTAAAACTGAGATCTCTCAGCACGGAGACAGCCCATGGATGGGGGTGGCAGTGCCTGGCAGATTGCAAGCTTTTAATCAACACTAGCAAATAAAAACAAGAATGATGATGGCAGTAATTGACATTTAGACATGCTGTGATGTTGCCAGTACAGTGCTACCCTCTGACCACTACAGCAGACCCCTGAGGACGTGGGCGATGCATCCTGTTCTGCGCAAGGACACCGAGCTGGGCCAGGTAACAACTCGTCCTGGGCCACGGGTGGGCGGGCGGCAAGGCAGGATCAATGCTGAATGTTTGCAGCTGGGCCCAGCTGACTATCGCTGCGGACCCTCAGGCTTCTCTCACTGCCTCCCAGAGGCGCAGGCCTGAACTGATGCCTGGGGAGCTGTGTGAGGTGTGCGGCCCCAGGACGTCAGGGCCTGTGAGACCGGGCACCGCGGCTCCACCATTTCGTGGGTTAGGGCGTGCCACACAGCACCACCGGCAAGGGCGCGAGGGGGCCGAGGAAGGCAGCTGTCTCCACAGGAAAGGTGGCTTTTCTGGATGATGTTATGTTTTGTTTTCCACATAAATTAAAATACAGGTGGGAGAGGATTGAGCTAGGTGAGATGATTTGCTGAGGTCACACAGATGTAAACAGCAGGGCCAGGATTGAACAGGAATCTTTCTAGCCCTAAAGCACATTTCGAAGACGTTAAGATGCCCTCAATTTAAAGACAGAGCCCTGAGTATTTTCCAGGGAAAAAAAATTCCCAAACAGAAACATGACTACATGAACTACACACACTATCTGAAGACACATCAGAAGATCTGAAAACAGGAAGAAAAGGATTTGCGACTTCCAGCTGGGAAAACGGGATGGATATATGTGTGGCATAGAGACATTTGCCTATACTCAGCCATCTCCCTTCTCCTGGCCCTGCCACTGCCTGGGACAGGTACTGAAAGAACCCCAGGATCTCAGCTTAGGCAAAGTTACATTAATTAGAAGTGCTTGGGCAGGGAAGAGTGGAGGAAAGGTCGTGAACTTGGAGGGGGGAAGCAAAGGTTTTGTGAGAGCTGTACTCAGAGCAGCCAGCTGGGTGCCCATTCATCCAGGTGACTGTCCATCCAGGTGACCATCCATCCAGGTGACGGTCTAGCTGGTTGACAATCCATCCAGGTGACTGTCTAGTCGGGTGACCATCTATCCAGGTGACCATCCATCCAGGTGACTGTCTAGCCAGGTGACCATTCATCCAGGTGACTGTCCATCCAGGTGACCATCCATCCAGGTGACGGTCTAGCTGGTTGACAATCCATTCAGGTGACTGTCTAGCCGGGTGACCATCTATCCAGGTGACCATCCATCCAGGTGACTGTATAGCCGGGTGACCATCTATCCAGATAACCATCCATCCAGGTGACTGTCTAGCCAGGCGACCATCTATCCAGGTGACCATCCATCCAGGTGACTGTCTAGTCATGTGACCATCAATCCAGGTGACCATCCGTCCAGGTGACTGTCCATCCAGGTGACCATCCATCCAGGTGACCATCCATCCAGGTGACTATCTAGCTGGGTGACCATCTATCCAGGTGAACATCCATCCAGGTGACTGTCTAGCCAGGCGACCATCTGTCCAGGTGACTGTCCATCCAGGTGACTATCTAGCCAGGTGACCATCTATCCAGGTGAACATATATCCAGGTGACTGTCTAGCCGGGTGACCATCTATCCAGGTGACCATCCATCCAGGTGACTATCTAGCCGGGTGACCATCTATCCAGGTGAACATACATCCAGGTGACTGTCTAGCCGGGTGACTATCTATCCAGGTGACCATCCGTCCAGGTGACTGTCCATCCAGGTGGCCATCCATCCAGGTGACTATCTAGCCGGGTGACCATCTATCCAGGTGAACATCCATCCAGGTGACTGTATAGCCGGGTGACCATCTATCCATGTGACCATCCATCCAGGTGACCATCCATCCAGGTGACCATCCATCCAGATGACCATCCATCCAGGTGACTGTCTGTCAGGTGACCATCCATCCAGGTGACTGTCTAGCCAGGCTACCATCTATCCAGGTGACCATCCGTCCAGGTGACTGTCCATCCAGGTGACCATCCGTCCAGGTGACCATCCATCCAGGTGACTATCTAGCTGGGTGACCATCTATCCAGGTAAACATCCATCCAGGCGACTGTCTAGCTGGGTGACCATCTATCCAGGTGACCATCCGTCCAGGTGACTGTCCATCCAGGTGACCATCCATCCAGGTGACTATCTAGCTGGGTGACCATCTATCCAGGTGACCATCCATCCAGGTGACCATCCATCCAGGTGACTATCTAGCCGGGTGACCATCTATCCAGGTGACCATCCATCCAGGTGACCATCTATCCAGGTGAACATCCATCCAGGTGACTGTCTAGCCAGGTGACCATCTATCCAGGTGACCATCCGTCCAGGTGACCGTCCATCCAGGTGGCCATCCAGCCGGGTGACTGTCCATCCAGGTGACCATCCATCTAGGTGACCATCCATCCAGGTGACTGTCTAGATGGGTGACCATCCAGGTGACTGTCTAGCTGGCTGACCATCCATCCAGGTGTCCACCCAGCCAGGTGATTGTCTAGCGAGGTGACCATCTAGGTGACTGTCTGGCGGGGTGACCGTCTATCCAGGTGTCCGTCCATCCAGGTGACTGTCCAGTTGGGTGGCCATCCCCTGCATCTATAAACCACATGAAACTGTTCACCTCATGGGGTGTCCTGAGGACACCATGAAGCCACGGACATGGGAGGATTGAACCTGAGCTGGCAGGAGTCACCTTGGGGTTTGCTCGTTGAGTCTGGATTGGGAAAAATAAGCAAAAGCAAACAAAGCACATGCACTCAGGCGGAGCTGGACTCCTTCTGCCCGGAGGGCTTGGCTGGGCAGGTCTGTAGAGTCGGAGGATGAACAAGGAGCCGCTCCTCTGCCACGGCCTCCACGGCCCTTCCTCTCCTTGCAGCCGGGCCATGCATCCCTTCCATCCCGTTCCCATTAGACACTTTAAAGTGGTTCCAGAGTTGGATTTCAGCTGTGAAACCACAGTGCCTCAACCTAGACTTCGCCCCACGCCAGTGCCTTCTGGAAGGGAGAACGCACCGGCCCGGCCAGGGTTTCCATTCAGATTGGACTCCTGCCCTGGTCTCAGTCCTGATCCAGGATTTCAGAAAAGGAATCTGTCCCCAGAAGAACTGCAGGTCAGACCCTCTCGATGTGAGGCTGCCCACAACATGGGTGCTGGCATCGGGGAGGCTTGAAGGGGAGCTGGGGCATGGGCAGACCCTCTCGATGTGAGGCTGCCCGCAACAGTGGTGCTGGCATTGGGGAGGCTTGGAGGGGAGCTGAGGCATGGGCAGACCCTCTCGCTGTGAGGCTGCCCGCAATAGCGGTGCTGGCATCAGGAGGTTTGGAGGGGAACTGGGGCATGGGTGGACCCTCTCAGTGTGAGGCTGCCTGCAACAGCGGTGCTGGCATCGGGAGATTTGGAGGGGAGCTAGGACATGAGCCAATGGTGACCCCATGACAATGTGGCCGGGTTTAGAGCTGGCATGCCCCTTCCCTTGTGTCAGGAGATGGCCTTGGACTTGGGGAGCAGGGCCTCTGGAGCACCCTGGTGCCAGCTAAGGGCCTCTGAGCCTGGCCCAGGCCCGAGAGGAATTCAAGATGGCCAAAGAGATGCAGAGGCAGGGCCTGCCCTGGCAGGGGCCTCCTTCTGCTCTAGGGAACAGACTTAGATGAGGGGCCGACCCACAGTTATTGATTCAAAAAGTAACCTCGGCCCATGTGGGGATGGTGTCATTTCTGGGTTTTTTCCCTTTATGTGGAGACAAGGAAAGGGCAGAACAATCGTGGAAAAATTCCAGGAAATAATTCTCAGTGTGTGAGTCCTTCAGAGAGGCATTTTCTTCCGAGTAGCAGCTTCCTGCTCTCAATAGAGGCCCCATCAGGGTCCCAGGGACCCACTCTGGGTCTTCAGCACCTGCATCTGAGACCTGTGATAGGGAGTGAGCTCTGCAGTAATGTCCGGGGAGCTGTTGTCTCTGGGAATTGCCTTCAGTCAGGTGAAGTCGCCTTGCCCCAGGCTACTCCCCTGCCTGGGGGGCAGCTCTTGGCCGGCGATGGACCCAGAGCCACCCCCACATTGGGCTGGGGCAACCCCAATGCACCCTCACCGGATTTCAGAGGCCTCTGTCACTGTGACGCAGCAGCCCCATTCTCCCTGCCCCACCCAGGCCCTGGTGTGATCAACGATTCACAAACCTCGCGCCTCAGAGTCTAACCTAAGATGAGGATCCGCCCCAGCAACCTCATCTCATTTATTCTTTTGATTAATTTATATCGAAAAGAATACTGTTCAGAGGGGCACGTGAAGCTTTTCGTCTCATCAGCACCGGAGAGGATTTCCACTCCAGAAAGGGCCTGAGAGGTGACGTAGTCCAAATCCCCAGTGTTACAGAAACTGAGGCCTAGAGAGAGTGAGTCGCTCCGGGGACACCTGGATTCTGGAGCCTGCTCCTGGATATACAGGTGGGGGCTGGGGGCTTGGACGTGTTGGGGCTGCCCTGCAGGACAGGAAATGGGTGGTCCAGGAGATGTCTGAAGCATGGGACCCTGGACTGAGACCACAGAGGCAGAGAGACGTCCCCACAGCCTGAGAGGTGCGGAAAGCGCCTGTGGAGCCATCTGGTCTGTCACAGCTCCACAGGGCCAGAGGGCCCTGCTCCCGGGATAGGCAGGCAGGATGAGAGCCCGGCAGCACCGGGCCACACGCTGCACCTTGTGTGGATGCCTGGAGCTGTCAACAGCCCGTCAGGAGATCCGTCTCAGAGGAGTCCAGCACCCGCCCACAGTCACGCAACTGGGGATGGATGGAGCTGGAATTTGGGATGGACTACTGGCCTTCGAAGCTGATGGCTGCACCCCACACCATTCAGGTGGGGTCCTGGAGCTCTGGAGGGCTCCACAGCCTGGGGAGGTCTCCCCATCCAGCTGCCTCCTTGTTTCCCACAGCTGAGGGAGGCAGCCCCGGCCTTGAGGTGCAGGGGGAGTTCCATGCTCAACCCCACAGCTAAGGGTGGTGGCCTGAGGGTCCTTGCAGGCCTCAGTGTCCGGGTGTTGGCTGTAGCAGAGGACACACCTGGCCCTGCAGGAGATGTGGTCAGTGATGGTGCATCTCTGTGGGCTGAGTGACCCGGCCCCACTCAGGTGGTACCTGAGCCTCGGGGGGTGACCCGCCTGCCCACATCATCAGGCAGGCCCCAGAGAGGGCAGCAGCTCCATGTGCATGACAGCACTCGGCCCAGTGGGGATGGCCAAAGTCCAGCTGAGGTGACACCATGCCCTCCCATGAGAAATACCTGGACACTGGGGCATTGAGGGGTGGGGAGGGGCGCTGAAGGGCTGGCACATGGGGGAAGACGGCTGTCATTCTCCTGTCTGGTGTGTGATAGGGCCATGGAGTGGGGGCTGGGCATCGGAGAGGCACGGCCTCCTGCTTTCCAGCTGGCAGAAGGTGGACAGGGACGGTGGCCAGCACAGACGAGGGGCAGGTGGAGAAGGCGGGCGCAGCAAAGTGGACAGATTGTGGCCCATGTCTCTAATACATGGAAGGGAAAGGAGGGACACATGGACACTTCCAAGCTGGAGGTCTCTTCTCAAGGGCTGGGACTTGTGTGTCCAGAAAGCCTCCTGCTCTGTCCTAGAACTGCAGTGCAGGGATGCGTTTGCCTTGCAGGTCCCACTGGGGGCCCAGAGAAGCACGCACAGCCTGAAGGCCCTGGGAGCGGCTGCTGGGCCCAGGACAAGGCTTTCGTGAGGATGTCAGGCCTGCTTTCCAGGGCCAACTGCCAGCTCCACAGTGGTACCTCTTGCACCCTGTGATTTGCATGCCTTAGGAAACGCCCTGCCCTCTACTGTACTTGTGGAAACTGCTTTCAGGGGACATTAAAGGTGGCAGAGGACTCAAGGGCATGAGGCTGTAGCACACTCCCCTGGATGAGTCCCAGCTGCCCTGGGACTTGGGAACTGCAGTGCCTTGCCCCAGGGTCACCAGCTGTCAGGTGCAACACTGGGACCTCTAGACCTCCAACTCCAGGCTCCTCTGTGGCTCTTCCAAGTTGTCCTGCCCAGAACACTGAGGGGCCACTGCCCACCTCCTGATTGCTCTTGCCCTAGGCACCAGGCCCTTGCTTGTGCAGCTGTGTGTGAGTGAGCATGTGTGTGTGATCATGCGAGTGAGCAAGTGTGTGTGTGACTGTGTGTGCGCATGAGCGTGCATAAGTGTATGAGCATGTGTGTGTGCATGTGTGAGAGTGCATGTGAGTGTGTGTGAGCATTGTGAGTGTACGTGTGAGTGTGCTTGACTGCATGAGTGTGCATGTGTGAGCATGTGTGTGCATGTGTGTGCATGTGAGTGTGCATAAGTGTAAGCGTGTGTGTGAGCATTGTGAGTGTACTTGTGTGAGTGTCCAGGACTGCATGAGTGTGCATAAGTGTGTGAGCATGTGTGTGCATGTGCGTAAACATGCATGTGAGCATGCATAAGTGTGTGAGCTGTGTGTGCACGTGTGCATGTATGTGAGCATGCATGTGTGTGAGCATGTGCGAGTGTACGTGTGTGAGTGTGCATAACTGCATGAGCTTGCATGAGGGTGTGTGAGTGTGTGTGAGCGAGCTCAGTCGCCAGCTGAGCAGCATCTGCAGTCACCTGTTTGGGTCCTGGAAGGGGTCACATGCCTAGGTCCTTGTTGGCTTCACCTGCCTGGTGGATAGTCCTGGTGTGGATGGGTCTTCTTCTTGGGTCCCTAAGCTATTGTGCCACTTCTTGGGCGCTTGGTCCTCAGCTCTTGCCCGTGCTTTGCTCTGCTCTGCCATGCTGGGCTGGGCCGGGCCCTGCAAACCCTGTCTCTCCTTAGCCAGCTGCTCCGGGAGGCCGTGCCGAGAAAACTCACCCCGCCTATCTTGGCTTCTCTGAGCCTCTCCCCAGGAGCTCCTCTTGGCCGAGTTTAAGCCTCGGGAAGGCTGAGCTGCCGCTGTGTCCCCACTCTGTTGGAAGGAGACCTTGTTGCCCTGAGAATCCCGGGGCCAAGGACGGGACTCAGCAGGGAATTTTCTCCCCAGGAGCCAGGTGGGCATCTGCAGGTGTTTGCCTGCAGGGACTTGGCTAAAAGGAGCCATTGAGAGGTTGGGTTAATTGGCATCTTCCCACCCACCCGTAGGAGTTTTCTGGAGTGGGGTGCTCTGTAGGAGGTCATGACGCTCATTTTCCCCTTGTTAATGCATCGCTGACTTAGCCTACCTGGGGAATGTGGGGTTGGCCCACTGTTTCCCAGCCATACCTGGGAATGTCTCGATCTGTGCCTTTCTGCCCTCGGATCCCAGTGCTTCTGCTCCTCCCCCTCCTGCCAATTGTGTGGGCACCCGACGCCTGTCTCCCCGCTGCCAGGAGAGGCTGATGCAGGTGGAGACAAGGCAGAGACAGGAGGAGGCCCCGAGTTTACAGCAGGTCAACAGCCCTGGGCAGTTACAGTCAGTCGATTGTGCCCACAGGTGCCATGCAGAAACCTACCTGCAGTTCCGCCCTGAGTCCAGATGAGACTGCAGGAGCCTTCCTGGGAGAGGCGCTCATTTACCCAGAGGCTCTAGAATGGGGAGCAGGTTGCCTCAAACAGGCTGATGGGAGTGACTGGGCAGTGGGCACCAGGGGAGCCTGAGGAGGGAAGGGACACCTCTACCCTTGTGGGGCCATCTGAGTTGCCACATCACACAGACCCTGAGCATAGAGGGCAGTCCTGGGAGGTGTAGGGAGCTGGCAATTAGGCTACATCCATCCCTGCCTTCAGCGCTCCGGAGCAGCTGGGGCCTCTCCTCATGCTAATTACAGGAATGTTAGCCCCAGCTACGGGGTGCCAGCACCCAGCAGGCCCTCTTCGTCCTGTGGCTACAGCTGCCTCCACCCTGGTGCAGCTTCAGGAGGGAGAAGGTGAGTGAGGGAGGAGTGGCGTCCATGCTGGCCAGAGCGCCGGAGTCCTGCCCACTATGTGGGCCATCAGGTGACAAGATCCTGCCAGCACCGGCGTGCGTGTGGACCGGCCATTTGCACCTTTGTGGTGCCTGGTGTGGATGACTTCATGGACCACTGCCTGGGTCCCAGATGGGGTAACCTGCCTGGGTCTGGAGGAGGTCACTTGTCTGAGACCTGGATGGGGCCACCTGAGTCTGGATGCAGCCTCCAGCCTGGGCCTGGGTGGGGTTACTTGTTTGGGTCCTGGAAGGGGTCATATGCCTAGGTCCTTGTTGGGTTCACCTGCCTGGTGGACAGCCCTGGTGTGGAAGGGTCTTCTTCCTGGGTCCCTAAGCTACCGTGACTCTGCTGCCTGTTCTATGATGGGTGCTCTTCCAGCTGGCTCCAGGGAATCCTCCTCACCCTGGGGTGAGAGCTGAGCATTTGACCTCACAAACTGAGCCCTGCAAAAGGCCTCTCAGACATGGGGGCCACACCCCTGCAGGGGCACTCCCGTCCGCTCCTCTGGGTCAACTGTTCACCCAGAGGGCAGCACTGTGCCCAGGACTCAGGGACTGGGTGAATCTGCCCCTGTAGGTGACAGTAAATTGCAGACGAGCCCGCAAGCCTGTTCCGGAGCCTGAGCAAAGAGGAACAGTTGTGTTTAAAGAAAGACTCGGCCTGTCGGAGGGGCGGTGCTCAGCTTGGGAATGAGGAATGTGAAGAGCCCGCCTGCGGCTAGTGTGGGGAGGGTGCTCTTGGAGACGGGCCCTCCAGCACCTCTTCCCCAGGGAACACGGAGGCACTTGCTCATCTCTTGGCAGGCTCAGGGCCCACAGCTGAGATCAGGGCTGTGCAGACCCGGACACAAGCCCGTGAGGACAACACAGCCCCACTGCGACCCCCATCAGCTGGGCGGACATCAGAAGACAGTAATGCAGCTCCCTGCGATGTGGCCTGCCCGTGAGGTAAGGGAGGTCTCAGGGACACCTGGCTCCACCACAGCGATGGGAAGCTTCTCCATGGAAGTGACTCCCATCTGAAGTCCCACCCATGGTCTGCTGTAATTCTGCGCCCACATCAGCACCATGGCCTTCCAAGCCTGTACGTCAGTCTCCTGAGTTTGGCTGATGAGGCTGACCTGAAAGACAGGGCCTGGCTCTCAATCTGTGGGAAGAGGTCCAGCCTCTGAACCTGCAGGATTGAGCCCTTGGGTGTCGAGGCCTTGCTATGGTCAAGCATGTGATGAACATGCCCAGAGTAGCAGGGGTGGCAGGCCCCAGGGTACAGCTGCTGGTGTTCAGGCATAGCGGGTGGCCAAGGCCTGCCTTGCCCTGTGGGGATCCCACGGCCTCTGATGGTCAGCACTCCCTGTGCAGCAAGCAGCTGGCCCACACCAGCCCTCCTCTGTCAGCCCCTTGGCTGGCCGGCCTGGCCTCCCCATCCTGCAGTGAGAAGGTGGAGGCCGCGTGGCCCCAGGTGTGCGCCAAGGCTGAGATTCCCAGTCCTCTCTGCCTCCCCGTGCATCCAGGGCTGGAGCCATGATGCAGGCTGAACCCCGAGGGAAGTGCCCACCCCGTCTGGCTCAGTGCCCTCTGCAGTTCGTGAGGGCTCAGGACATTGTCTGACCATGGTGCTTGTTTTACCAGGCACAGGTCTGAGATAGACAGCAGAGGAGCACACACGGCCGGAGGGCATAAGCCAGCAAGGAAGTTTTCTTGCTTCATTTTACCCGGGCCTAACGAGCCGTCTGCCACTCACGAACAAAAGCCCAGGGTTCCCAGACAGGCTCGCACCTGCTGGGAGGGCCAGGCCCTGTGCAGGGCAGAGTGCTTCTGTGCCGAGCCCTGAGGGGCCCACTGTGCTTCTGGAGGGGAGGTTATGGGGAGCCAGCACCCGACAGGCCATCCTCATCCTCTGGCTGCCTGAGCCCCTGGCCAGGGCACCCACTTCTCACAGAGAGCAACCTCCACCCGGGTGCAGCATCAGGTGGGTGTCGGGTGAGTGAGGAGAGAGTGCAGCCGGGCCAGAGCGGCAGAGTCCTGTCTGCCATGTGGGTCACCAGGTGACAGGGTCCTGCTAGCACCTGCGTGTATGTGGTCCAGCCGTTTATCTCGGGTGAGCTCACCTCCACCCACACCCTCACCCCTGGGCTCCTTGCACCTGCCCTTTCTTGTTGTTCAGTGGCTGCCTCAGTGATGGGCCGCTGGTGCTTCCCGGGCACCTCGCAGATGTCCATTCATCTGACCCCTAGGACAACCCACACTCTCATTACCCAGTTCTACAAATAGGCAGCTGGGGCTCAGAGCAGCCGAGGCCCTCCCCACCTCAGGCTGCTCACCTGTGGAACAGGCTCACAGCACTGGCCTCAGAGGGCCACTCAGAGCAATGGCAAGCAGGAGCACTCCACAGCCTTGCGGGCAGCACTGCAGCTCCACGTCTGCCTGAGCATCCTGGCGTCTGGGATTAAAAGGGCTGAAGAGCCTGCCTGTTTGAGACTCCTCCCCGAGATGCCCCCACCCTGTGATTTTCAAGGGCAATGAGTGGAGGGGCACCTTGGCTTTGCAGGACGCCCAGCTGGGCACAAACGCAAAGGAGCCAGGTGTCCAGTGGGCCTCCCGTCTTCCTGGCTGCTTCGCAGAAGGGAGCCAACAGGCAGTGACTGCTTTAGCATCCAACTCTGCCCTGGGCCTTTGAGTTCAGCACCAGCAAGTCCAGCTCTCCTCCTCCTCGCGGCGTAGCTCTGGCGGCGCTCCATCAATGCTGGTGGAAAGAGTCCCAGGAGGATGACTGGGGCTGAGGTCGGCCATCACGGGCCTGCTCCCTGTGCACAGGCAGGGACAGTTGTCCGAGAGGCGCTGGGCTGTCTCTGCCGAGCCCCGGCCCCAGCACGCGCTCTCCCGGCTGGAACTGTTACTACGCAGGAGGGGAACATGCGTGTGTGTGGAGGGGGACCTGTGAGCGGAGGATGTAGAGAGACAGCTGAGAACTGTGAGACAGCGCCAGTCCCCAAGGCCCCAGTGGCTGTGTGGAGGTCAGAGGTGCTGCCGTGTGGTCCCGTCTCATGGAGACAGTGGCCGTGCTCCTGACCCCAGGCCAGTGCCTGCAGCCCCTTCCTTCCTTGCCTGCCTGATCACACAAGCATTAGCAAGATGATTCTGCTCCTGTCTTGAAAAGTGTTCTTTCAGCACGGACCTCCGTCTGTTACGTTCAGAAACGACATGACTCTCATCACCCATGAAACGACGGGGCTCTCATCACCCATGAAACGACGTGGCTCTCATCACCCATGAAACGATGGGACTCTCATCACCCATGAAACGCGATCATTACTGGGCAGTTTTCTCCCCTCTCCAGCACAGACCCAGCCACGGGCCAGGAGGTTGATCAGGCTCAGAGGTTTGATCTAATCTCACAGGGGCAGTCTGGGGCTGGCGTTCAGGTGCCATCGGGCATGGGGCTGAGGTGTGAAGCAGCTTGTGAATTCACTGGCTGAAACCAGTTCTGCCCAGACCTTCTCACCAGATCAAGACCTTCCTGCGATTTTCATTTTGTCACACTCAGCATCAGTTTTTCAAACTCTTGGGTCCTTAATGTTCCTAATGCCCTGCCTGACAACTGCCTGACACCTGCCCATGGAACGTTCCCTTATGTTGAGAAAAAGGTCGGAGAACCGCCAACGCGGCCGGGAGACCAGGCCAGGTGGGTCGGGCCCCTGGAGCTCTGGGTGGGCTCAGCCTCCTGCAGGACCTGGGGCCTGCTGTGGGTGGGGGAAGCTCCAGCCAGCTCCGAGGGTCCCCTGGGGGCTGCGGGGTCTAACCTGAGGGCGGGGCTGTCTGAATCCCAGGGGAAGCCTGTCGGGATCCCAGGGCACCTTCGGTCCTTCGTACGTGGGGAAACCTGGCCTCTCACAAGCGCTTCCCCTGCTGCTAGGACCTGAGGAGCACCGGGTGGGGCAGAGGGAGGCGGGGTGGGGCCACCTCCTTTCCAGTCCTACCTTTGAGCTGTGTGACTTTGAACAGCAGCTCAGCCCTTTGGGACAGTCCTGCTCGTGGGGTGGGGTTGAAGGAGATCAGGCCAGTGGGTATTTGGAGACACACCCTGTCCCAGGGCCTTCTGGCAGAGAGGTTGGTGAGGCCGTGGGCAGGGAGGTGCTACCTGAGGAGGAGGACGGGTCCAACTCCTAGCCCCAAAGCCTCAGGCAGGCACTGCCACAGGTGAGCATAGGCCCTGCCAGGCTGGTCAGCTCTGAGCCATGTGCCAGAGGCCAGGGCAGCCCTCGGGGTGGCAAGGGAAAGGGGTTCTCAGCTGGGGTGCCCTGGCTCAGGGGTTCCACCCTGACCCGCTGACACTCCGCTTCCCGGGGTCCTTGGGGATGAGAACTTCCCTGCCTGGGATCATTGCTGCTGGCGTTGGAAGGGACCGTGTCATTAAAGCTCTTTCTTGATCCCTGGGTGAGGTAGAAAGAAATCTGGGGGCCTGGGGCGAGGCTGGATTTACAGGGTGGTGTGCCGGGCTCACTCTGGAGCTTCCTCCAGTGGTGCAGGAAGCCGAGGTGCAGGAGGCAGGCTTGGAGGGCTGCTGGTGTGGATGGGACCCCAAGCTGATGGAGAAGGTGGGTGGTTAGCCCTGACTGCGGCTCTCCAAACAGACTGAGACCAGCCCCAGCCCCTTCAGCCCTCTACCCTGGACATCACATGGGCTTCCTGCTTCTCCATTTCCCCAGCATCAAATGGAGGCCGTGAGTTTACCCAGTGGGCTTCAGAGGCGTCCACGGGAAGAAAGCTGTGACCACCACTGGAGGAAGCAGCACTGCAGCCACGACCGTGTGCTCCTCACAGGCTCTGCACCTTCTCCAACTGCTGTGTGACCTTGGGGAGTTCCCCTGACGTCTCTGTGCGGTACTGCAGCCACGACCGTGTGCTCCTCACAGGCTCTGCACCTTCTCCAACTGCTGTGTGACCTTGGGGAGTTCCCCTGACCTCTCTGTGCGGTACTGCAGCCACGACCGTGTGCTCCTCACAGGCTCTGCACCTTCTCCAACTGCTGTGTGACCTTGGGGAGTTCCCCTGAACTTGACCTCTCTGTGCGGTACTGCAGCCACGACTGTGTGCTCCTCATGGGGCTCTGCACCTTCTCCAACCGCTGTGTGACCTTGGGGAGTTCCCCTGACCTCTCTGTGCGGTACTGCAGCCACGACTGTGTGCTCCTCATGGGGCTCTGCACCTTCTCCAACAGCTGTTAGGGAGTTCAGAACTGCAACAGAACTTGGGGAGTTCCCCTGCCCTCTCTGTGCGGAGGCTTCTTTGTCTGCACAAGGGGAATAATACTATGGTCCATGAGATATTGTGTGTAAAGCCTCGGCACCACACCTGGGGCTTCATCTGTGCTCAAAAAGTTAGATATTGTCGTTTTACTTATGCTGATAATTATGTCTCTTTTCTCCCACATCTGTCTACCTCACATCTGGTCCTGCCCGACGGTCTTATCGCTTCATCGATGGTAGGTTCTGGATTCCCCATTGCTCCCCCTGGCCCTGCTCCAGCCTCTGCGGGTCTCTCTGCTTCCCGGCTGGGTGACCTCTCCTGCTTTGTTTCTGCTGGTCTCTGCAGCCAGGCTCCCAGCCCCTGTCCTATCTTCCTGAGTCCTGCCCTTCCTCAAGGGTCTCATTGCCTTTCCTAATTGTATCCTCATCCCAACAGGATCACCACCCACCCCTGGATGTCCACAGTCATTGTCCTGCCCGCCCTGGACACTGCCTGCTTTGCATTGCGATCATGACACCCAAGATGTGGCTCCCACAGAGTCCCATGGGATTCGTCCTTGATTCATTCCTGAGCTTTTCCCACCATGGGGTTTGGGGGAGCATCTGCTGGTGAAGCCAGGAAGCAGGGAGACGACGGAGGAACAGTGGAACAAGAAGAGGGAAGCTTGGGCCTGGAGGGTGTGTGGGCCTTCATCTCAGCCCCAGAGTGCATCTTGTGGGTCGTGGAGGGCGTTGGGGTCCTGTTTGGGTTTAAGTAGACCAATCACCAGGTGCCCGCCTGTTTACATTCCAATGTGCGGTGCATTCACTCAGACCTCGGCCAGGCTCCTGGTGGCCACTGGGAGCGCACTCCTGGCTCCAGTGGGCCTTCCAGACCCCAGGGCTGAGCAGTGACCCCCTGTGCCCTCCAGAGCGCTGACTCTTCTGTGCCAAGGCTGCTGGGAAGGAAGGACCCAGGGTACGGGTAAGGTGTGACCCCCATATGCCAAACGTGTTTCCCTACAGAGAAGACTACAGCAGAGTTTGGAGGAGGGTTGTGGTCATGAGACAGACGGGAAGGGCTCACACTCAGAAACATGCAATCAGGCAGGGCAGAGATGCGGGCAGCAGGACTGGCCACTGGCCCCAATAGGTGCTGGTGAGCTGGGCAGACACTCGAGGTCTTCTTCCCACCCTCCTTCCTCCCCTCCACCTCCCACCCTCCACCTCCCACCCTCCACCTCCCACCTCCCACCCTCCCACTCCACCCCCAACCCTCCTTCCTCCCCTCCACCTCTCACCTTTCACCTCCCACCCTCCACCTACAACCTCACCCTCCCACCCTCCACCTGCCACCTTCCTTCCTCCCTCCACCCTCCACCCTCTCCTTCCTCCACCTTCTACCTTCAACCTTCCTTCCTATCCTCCACCTTCACCCTCTACCATCCTTGCTGCCCTCCAGCCTCCTCCCTGCCAGGCCAGTGAGGCACCCATCCTGCCTCCTTGGACCCACAGGGAATTCTCCAGAGCCTCTCCAGAGCACGGACCTGGAGGGATACAAGCCGGCTCCTGCAAGGGGACACACACAGGTTTCCCTCCTCAAGTTCTCCCATGCTGGGTGGCTTCCTAAAGGCATGGGCTCTGACCCCAAGAGTCCTTGGGTGATGCCTGAGCCTCATGCTGGGCACAGCTGTGAACCACCGGGGTGGCAGGGGTGGTCACGTTGGCAATGCCTCCTGTGCTCCTCCACCCCTCCTGAAGCGGGTGAGAGTGCTCCCTGCTCTCAGGACCTCTGACCAGCATGGGGCAAAACCCAGAGCTCCACCTGGGGACCCTGTGTTTCCCCGGCACCCTCGAGGCTTGGGAGCCCCCAGCACTGAGCTCTCTCATTCCCACTCCCCAGTCAAAAGAAGGAAGAAGGATTCATGCTCGGGAACCCTGCAGCCTGGGAGGGTGGGGAGGGACACTGGCCTCACCTGGCAGACCTGCAGCAGAAGGACACTCAAGTCCAGGGCCCTGGAACAGGAAACGGAGGAGTCCAGGCCCCTGGAATAGTGAACGGGGTGTCCAGACCCCTGGAATAGTGAGTGGGGGTGTCCAGGGCCGACCACTAGTGAGTGGAGTTCAGGCCCCTGGAATACTGAGTAGAGGAGTCCAGGGGTCTGGATTGGTGAACTGAGGAGTCCACGGCCCCTGGAATAGTGAACGCAGGAGTTCAGGGCCCTGGAATAGTGAGTAGAGGAGTTCAGGACCCTGGAATATTGAGTGGAGGGGTTAAGGGCCCTGGAATAGCGAGTGGAGGGGTTCAGGGCCCTGGAATAGTGAGTGGAGGAGTCCAGGGCCCTGGAATAGGGAGTGGAGGGGCTCAGGGCCCTGGAATAGGGAGTGGAGGAGTTCAGGACCCTGGAATAGTGAGTGGAGGGGTTCAGGACCCTGGAATAGTGAGTGGAGGGGTTCAGGACCCTGGAATAGTGAGTGGAGGGGTTCAGGGCCTTGGAACACTGAATGGAGGAGTTCAGGGCCCTGGAATAGGGAGTGGAGGAGTTCAGAGCCCTGGAATAGGGAGTGGAGGAGTCCAGGGCCCTGGAATAGGGAGTGGAGGGGCTCAGGGCCCTGGAATAGTGAGTGGAGGGGTTCAGGACCCTGGAATAGTGAGTGGAGGGGTTCAGGACCCTGGAATAGTGAGTGGAGGGGTTCAGGACCCTGGAATAGTGAGTGGAGGGGTTCAGGACCCTGGAATAGTGAATGGAGGAGTCCAGGACCCTGGAATAGTGAGTGGAGGGGTTCAGGGCCTTGGAACACTGAATGGAGGAGTTCAGGGCCCTGGAATAGGGAGTGGAGGAGTTCAGAGCCCTGGAATAGGGAGTGGAGGGGTTCAGGACCCTGGAATAGTGAACGGGGCAGTCCAGCTCTACAGCAGGTCTGGTCCCTCCAATCCATGTCCTTAGCCCCAATCCTCACAGAGACTCATGCTGGCCCACAGACAGCAAACACGGATGGAGAGAAGGCAGTGTCCAGGCCCCGTGTCAATGGCTGGAGTGTGCTAATTCACAAAAAGCTTCAGCCCATCCCTTCTCTAAGCGCCTAATCTCTACCAGTGGAGCAAAAAGTTTAAAAAACAGCCTATCTTCTCCCCAACTCAACTCCCAGCCAAAGCTCAGGCCTCAAGGAAGGGGACCCCATTCCACACTACACCTCTGGGGGAAAGGGAAGGGTGGCTCCTGCTTTAGCTCTTATGGAACTGCTGTGTGACTTTGGCCAAGTCACTGCCCCCTCTCTGATGCTTAGTTTCTCCCTTGGTGGCGGCTGAGGCTGAATGAAGGCAGCAACACGTCATGTTGTATTAGCCCATTCTCATGCTGCCATAAAGACATACCCCAGACTGGGTAATTTATACAGGAAAGAGGTTTAATTGACTCACAGTTCTACAGGGCTGGGGAGGCCTCAGGAAATTTACAATCATGGCAGAAGGGGAAGCAAACATGTCCTTCTTCACATGGTGGCAGGAAGGAGAAGTGCTGAGCAAAACGGGAAAAAGCCCTTTATGAAACCATTAGATCTCGTGAGAACTCACTCACTATCATGAGGACAACATGGGGGAAACCGCCCCCATGACCCAATCACCTCCTACCAGGTCCCTCCCTTGACAGGTGGGGATTACAATTTGAGATGAGATTTGGGTGGGAACACGGAGCCAAACCATACAGATGCAGATAGTATTGGAAACACAGTGGCCTCTGGGAAGCCCTGTCCTAGGTCCCTGGTGAGCCATGGGGGCGGGTCAGGCCTGGTCCTGTCACCCACAGGTGACCGAGCCAGTGAAGTGAAGAGCCCAGGGTGCAGAGTGAAGGCCAGAAACAGTCTGGGAAGCTGTCATCGGCTCTTGCTTCATCGGTGTGGGCCTTTCCTGGCAAGCAGGAAACTGGAAGGATGATATTCATCTCTAGTAAAAGGCTCATTTGCATGTGTGGCAGAGGCGGTGGGGTGAGGGGGCTGGGGGGCCCACTGTCTTGCCAGTGCACACCTAGGGCCACCCCTCTGCTGAGCCTTCTCTGGAGTCTTGGGAGTGGGCATGCCAGGTTGTGGCACCCACTTTACCGATGAGGAGACTGAGGCTGGTTGGGGGATGACTCCATTGTGAGGGGTGAAACTGGCCCCCCATGGGTAGCCGCAGTCTGCCAGGGCCTCCCCCAGGATCCCCAGCCACCTCCCCTATGCAGGAGCATGCAGAGGCTGGGGTCAGGTTTGGCTTGCCCTGGAGCACAGGAAATGCCCCATTTACACATGGACCGGAGGCCAGTGTCTTTCGCACCAGGATCCCGGCCCCCAGGCTCAGAACTTGAATATCTGGGCCATGCTCTCCAGGAGTCTCTCTGAGAACCAGGCCAAAGTAGCTGCTTATGGTCTAGGATACACCTAAAATAGGAGTGGGGGCGGCCTGAGAGGTGAATTTCCCTGGGCTGGTGCATGGGCTGGGCTTGTCCTGGAGCCTCCAGTGCCGGCACTCATACAGGGCCCCCTGCCGGGGCCAGGAGAAAGCCGTTGCTGTGTGTAGCCTGGAGAGTGCGTCGTCACGTGACAGATGCTTGTAGCCACCCGGGACCTGCGAAAAGCCTGCAGCTGGTGATGCTCCCCTCCCACCAAGGGGTGCAGAGCTGGAGGATTGCTCATAAATTGTTCCTGCCCTGTCCAATAAATAAAATATGCCTTCTGGGGCGCAGTAGCGGGGCGCAGCAGCGGGGCGCAGTAGCGGTGGAATTACAATGCGGAGCCTGAGCCTCGCTCCCTCCAGCTGCACAGTTCGAGCTGCAGGCAGCCGGCACGGGTGGGGGTTCTGGAGGCCTTGCAGGTCCACCCACCCCAGCAAGGCCCTGAAGACAGCTGCTCCTGTGGGTGAACACCAAGACCCCTGGGCACTCAGCATCGAGTCTGGGCCCTGCTTGCCAACTGCCTCTTTAATGCCAGTGCTGCCTTGCAGTGACAGCCAGCTCCCAACTGGGAGCAGACGGCTTCCATGGAACCCACCGACTCTGCCGAGGCCAGCAGCGTGGGTCGACTCTAGAGAGAAGCAAAAGGCTGGCCAGCACAGCCTCTGGATTGCCTTCTGACCTCAGGGGCACTGTCGGCAGGGACGGGCCGGGGGCAGGGCCCCTCTGGGCTGGTGGCCAAGTGTGACCAGGCAGCATGGGGCAGGATGGCTGAGCCTGGGTGGGTCGCGTCATGGGAGCTGTGCAGGCGAGGACTTCTCTCGGAGAATGAGGACTGGGAGGGTTCTCTGGGCATCCCTGATGCTATGGTCCTGGGACCATCACTCCAGGTTCACCCTAGAATTTGCCTTGGAGATGCAAGAGGATGTCTGCAGGCACAGACCGGCAGGAGGAGCCTGGCTCCCCTCTCTGAAGATGCCAGTGCATGAACAGAGGGACCAGGAGCACCCCTGCGGGTCCCAGAGCCCGGAGCTGGCTCCAAGGAGGAGACTCCAGAGGGGCCAGCCCTGGTGGGCAGCGGGCTGTGGTCTCTGCCCGTGGTCTGTCACCTGGGTCCCCACTGGGCAGTGCAGCGAGGAGGCCGCAGCCCAGACCACTGGGAGAGCCTGGAGTCCCGGCTGCCCCTGGGCCTGAGCCCTGCTCTCTCCACCCCGGGCTGCGTCTCCTTGGTGAGGTCGCGTGGAGGCAGTGATGTCTGTCGGTACCCCAAGGCCTGTGTGGAGGCAGCAAAGTGTCTGGGGGACGGACTGGTTTCCCGGCTTTGCTCAAGCTCCGATGCCCACGGGAGGAGGGTAGGAGGCAGTCGCTGGTCTCGGTAGGACACGGGATGCCACGCATGGCTGGTTGGCCAATCTGTGTTTGGGTCAACGCGCCCCTGTGTGCTCGGACCTGGAACTGCACCTTTGTCGGGCACCCTGAGATAGGAAGGGCTCACACCCTGACAGGTGCGATCAGTCAGGGCAGGGAGGCGGGCAGCAGGACTGGCCACTGGCCCCGATAGGTGCTGGTGAGCTGGGCAGACACTCGGGGTCTTCCTCCCACCCTCCACCCTGAGGACAAGGCAGGACCCCCAGGAGCCCCCAACCCAACGCCCCCCAACCCAGCGCCTCGCTTCTTCCCTCTCCCCTCCGGCCTCCGGAATGTGGCGCCCAGCGACACAGACAAGCCCATCCTCAAAAGCACCGGGTCTTTCAAGGCAGGAGCTCTGACGTCATCGGAGTCACGTGAACCTGGTTCCTTCACAGGTTCTGAAAAATGGACGCAACAAAACTAGCGGTGGAAAAAGCCTTTGACTCCCGCCCTCAAATTCTTGCCAGTGAAATACCCGGAAAAGGAGACATGGCTTTTCCCTTGCAGGCAAGTCAGGCTCCTGAGTGCTTCTCTCCAGGTCGCAGCAGGGCACGGGGGGCAGGGAGTGGAGCCCGGCACTTCCACAGAGCTGCAGGCCCCGGGGCCCCGCTGCCGCCACCACACAACGACCCCAGGACTCATCACCCCTCCCCGTACCAATGCCCAGCCCATCCCACCTCTGTCAGCCACAGCATGCAGGAGGCTGCAATCCCCTCTTCCTGCCGCACCCCAACCCCAAACCCCAGCCCCAGCCCCAGCCCAGCCCAGCCCCAGCCCAGCCCCAGCCCAGCCCCAGCCCAGCCCCGGCCCCATCCCCAGCCCAGCCCAGCCCCGGCCTAGCCCCGGCCTAGCCCCGGCCTAGCCCCGGCCCAGCCCCAGCCCAGCCCCAGCCCAGCCCCAGCCACAGCCCCGGCCCCATCCCCAGCCCAGCCTAGCCCCGGCCCAGCCCCAGCCCAGCCCCAGCCCAGCCCAGCCCAGCCCCAGCCCAGCCCCAGCCACAGCCCCGGCCCCGTCCCCAGCCCAGCCTAGCCCCGGCCCAGCCCCAGCCCAGCCCCAGCCCCAGCCCAGCCTATCCCCAGCCCAGCCCCGGCCCCATCCCCAGCCCAGCCCCGGCCCCATCCCCAGCCCAGCCCCGGCCCCATCCCCAGCCCAGCCTATCCCCAGCCCAGCCCCGGCCCCATCCCCAGCCCAGCCTATCCCCAGCCCAGCCCCGGCCCCATCCCCAGCCCAGCCCCGGCCCCATCCCCAGCCCAGCCCCAGCCCAGCCCCAGCCCAGCCCCGGCCCCAGCCCCAGCCCAGCCCCGGCCCCAGCCCCAGCCCAGCCTATCCCCAGCCCAGCCCCGGCCCCATCCCCAGCCCCGGCCCCATCCCCAGCCCAGCCCCGGCCCCAGCCCCAGCCCCGGCCCCATCCCCAGCCCAGCCCCGGCCCCATCCCCAGCCCAGCCTATCCCCAGCCCAGCCTATCCCCAGCCCAGCCCCGGCCCCAGCCCCAGCCCCGGCCCCAGCCCCAGCCCCGGCCCCAGCCCCGGCCCCATCCCCGGCCCCGGCCCCATCCCCGGCCCCGGCCCCGGCCCCGGCCCCGGCCCCATCCCCAGCCCAGCCCCAGCCCCATCCCCAGCCCAGCCCCGGCCCAGCCCCAGCCCAGCCCCAGCCACAGCCCAGCCCCGGCCCCAGCCCCGGCCCAGGCCCAGCCCCATCCCTGCCAGCAAGAAAGTTCTGCCCTTCCTCCCTGCGGCCACTGTTGAACAAGGACGCGCAAGTGAATGCACACACGCTCACACATTCACACATGCCCACACACACTCGGGCACAGACACACACATGTGCATGTGCACACTCAGACACACACACAGGCACACGTATATACTTATATACACTCAGCCACACACGCACACAGACATATACACTCACACCCACACTTACACATATTTGTATACACTCACACCCACACTCACACACACACATGTATATACTCACCCACACTCGCACACATACTTGTATACACTCCTACACACAGTTGCATGTGCACACTCGGACACGCTCACATACACTCTGACACACACACTCACAGCCACACACGCTTATATACACATACATCCACACACTCTTATATACACTCACACTTATATACACTCACATCCACACTCACACACATTTACATGTACGTGCACACACGCACACCCACTCACACATACACTCATGCGCACACACTCTTGCACAAACACACAGACAACCCACTCTGGTGCACATAAACCCACACACTCATATGCACGCATTCAATCACTCACATACTCCACACACCCCACTCAGATACACACACACTCACATATGCTTCACACATACACCCTCACACACGCACTCAAACACACACGTAAATACATTCACACACAAATATACACATACACCCTCACATCTAAGAACAGCCAATTTCAGGAACAGTGTCAATTACATCCATATTTAGAATAAATTTCCTAAAGAAAACATAACATAAATGCAATTCTACCACTAGGAAGATGGCTGTTTACCTCATTACACGAAGCAATTTAGCTCCTTGTAGACTAAAACTTTTCTGTTGCAGAATATAATATTGTTAGACCCGTTAAAGTTATTTCCTAAAACAAAGAACCATATGCCACCAAAGGTGACCTTAAGATGCCACTTCCTGAAGGTCAGAAGGACTCCCTGCGGCATCACAATTTGTAGCTGCCAAGTTTTGAGCAACCTCAGGTCTGGCCTCCGCTGTGGGCTGGCGTGCTGGGTCTGACTCCCTCCCACCGCAGGGACCTCCGAGGGCGAGGACCGAATCTCAGCATGTTGTGTCTGCAGCCAAGTGCTAGGCCTGTCACATGGGAAATGCTCTTGGATATTTGTAGAGCAAATGAATTTTATAATTTTCACAACTGTTCTAGCTGAAAGCTCAGTAACTAAGGGTCAAGGAAACTAAAGGACAAAGAGATGAAATGATTTCCAAACAAGAGTGTTAGAAGAGATCATTAAGATATTCTCTATTATCAAAAATGACTGTCTTATAAAACTAAACTCTCCCCTACTTTATAATACGGGAATTCCACCAAAAGACCTGGGCAAGAATGTTCTAGAAGCTGTGTTCATAAAAACCAAACACTAAACATAGTCCAGATACTCCTCCACAGACAGAGGAAGGTGAACATCCTATGGAATACCCATACAACAGGATACTGCTCAGCAACAGAAAGGAACAGATTGCCGACATGCAAAAAAGTGCGTGAATCTCAAAACCATTGTGCCCACTTAAGGAAGCCTCACATCGGAGGGTGCACACTGTATGATCCTGTCATGGGAAGCTCTAGAATAGGTACAGCTAATCTACAATGAATGCAAGCAGAACAGTGTTTGCCTCCGGGGGTCTGGTTTGACCAGGAAGGGGTCTGAGAGAACGTTCTAGAGTGGTGGCAGGTGCTGTGTCTTTAGAGGGGTTTGGATTATGTGGGCACATGGATTGGTTGAAACTCATCGGATGACTAACTTATGGATAGCAGTGAAGACAGGGTTCAGAGAAAAACTTACAGCTGTCCATGTTCTATGCTGAAAAAGAAGAAAGGTCTCAAATCAATATCCTAACTGTACACCTTCAGGAGATAGAGAAAAGTAAACTCAACAAGAGCTTAGCAAAAGGAAGGGGATAATGAAGTGCAGTAGAGAGAAGCAAAGCTGTAGAGAATAAAGCTAAAATTGGTTCTCTGAAAAGATCAAGAAAATTGACAAACCTCTAGCTGGGCTGATGAAGAAAGAAGGAAATCTATTCATCTCATTGAATGCAGAACTTGCAGAAAGGCCCATCACCAACTGTTGAGCTCTAGTTAATTATGCAAAAATACTTGGGGAGAAAGGCACTGATGTCTCCTACTTACTTTGAATGCGTAAAGTAAAAGATGTATTGATGAAAGGCTAGAGACACAGACAGATGGAGTGATCAGTGATGCCCAAGGGGAGAAAGACATGAAGAGACCAGGCGATGGGCTAGGGATGTTCATTGCAAAATGCTTTCACTTTTTCTGTCTATTTGAACACTTCCACCATAGAATGTCTGAAGCGGTGACTGTCAATAGATCACACCACCCACAGCACCTTCACAGCTCTCCAAGGTGCTTTCTGCAATCCAAGAACTGACTTGTGCGGATCTGCACATTCGACACTCACATTTGTGCGTCTACACTGTGGACAAGGCACTGGTCTAGGTGTTGAGCTATGTCAGGAAAGAAAACACAGCCTCCGTGCCATGCAGTGGGGAGAGAGCCCAGGAGTGAGCAATCAAGTAATGTAGCAGCTTGCCTGGTGGGTGCTGTAGAGAAATAGGATGGCTGTTTAGACATCTCAAAGGAGGAGGAGGCTGGTGGACACGTGCTCAGAGCCCTTCCAGGAGGCGTCTTGGGGGTCTCTCCCTATGCTGTAGTGGATGTGGCTGTTACAGAGGAATGACCCCAATTTGGCACTCCAGAAGATAGTAGCATTGTTATGACTGTGGCTGGGAGCGGGGTGCACAAGGAATGTTTCAGGAGCTTTGCTGGAAGACCTGAGGTCTGGTTTTCTCAGTGATGTGGGTGGGCTGTGGGTAGGATGCTGGGGAGGCACACGACCTCTGGCATCTTAGACTTTACTTAGAATCCATGCCCTGGCACTTGCAGGTGAAAGTGGAAGCTGCAGGCCTACTTCAGAGCATGAGGGACAGCCGGGTGGCCGCCTTCATAACAATGTTCCTTCAAAAATCACTGCTTTTCAAAGGAAATGAATTCCACAGAGCCATCTGTCTGACACATGAGGGAAGCGGGCCCTTGGAAATGAAGATGTTCTAAAACCCATGTATGGTGACAGGTGCCACTCGGTAAAGTTACTAAAAATAACACACATGCGCATGCACACACACGCACCTGGAACTGCCTGGGTTCTAATCTGACCTCTTCCACTTTCATAGAATCTCAGTTTCATCAGTTTTATACATGGGAAAGATTTGCCCACAGACAGAGCACCAAGGTGCAGCTGGAGATCCATCCACACACATGGAGCTGGGTGGAGCCTGGACGGGGCAGAAGGTGCCCGACTCTGCCCTGGCCACTGCGTCTCACCCAGATGAGCCCCATGGCCTTATGAGCACACATGTCCCAGCTCCAGGGGAAGGGTACTGGTATTTGGTTGGAAACCTGGGTTGTGTTTTTTCCTGGCAATATTACCTGAGTCGCCTTGGGTCTCGGATTTGTCGTGTGCAGACATAAATGTCTCCCCAAGGGGTTCCTGCAGATGCCATGGAATCCTGCCTGGGAGGCCACATCGCCAGCAGTGCCCTACAGCTGACCGTGGCCCTGCTGGTGGTGGGCACCTTTCAGTGTGTGTGTCCACACTGGATTCTGATAGCAGGAGGCGGGAAAATCCACATCCCGGTCATTAGCAACGGGGTGACCAACCATCCCAGTTTGATCAGTACTAATGGGCCCTCCTAAGATGAGGGAGATTCAGTTTTAAAACCAGGACAGTCCCAGGTACCCTAATTAAGGGTGACCTTTGGACTTTGTAAGGGAGCCAGGAGCTGTGAGCAAAGGTTTCTCTCCGTGCTATGAGCACCATGGATGGTGAAATGAAGCTCTCTGGGATGCAGATGTGGGAGCTGGGGTGTCCTCATGCCACCCCCTTTCTTGGCACTGAGGCTAGCAAACACCAGGACTGAGGAGACTGGTCCCTGCGCCCAGTACTGCCATGCCTTAGGCTGCAGAGGGCCGCTTTCTGCACCTGGACCCTCATTCTGCACGCAGCTTCTGCCCTTCTTCAGTGAGTACCCGGGGAGAAGCCCCTCACCCGGTGGCCTCGCTAAGGCCTCTCTGCTCCCTGAACGCCGGTCCCGGACCATGACCCAGCCTCTGCCCAGCAGCCACTCCCCTCCCCACAGCCTTTGCTCCCAGCAGACCTGCCTGCTCTCTGTGCTGCTGCTCACCACGGCCGCGTGCCATTCCCCTGCCAGGGAGCCTTGGGACGGGACTCCCGTTAGAAGTCTGATGGCAACACGTGTCTGCCTCCCCCAGAGCAGATGAACAGAACCTCCTAGAGAGCAACTTTCAATGCCCCGACCTTCAGCAGAGGATGAAGAGCAGATCTCTCCTCCTGCTCCCGGGAGGGTGGGACGGCAAGGCCCTCCCGGTCCAATGTGACGGCAGGATTAGCCTAGTGGCTGCTGACACTCTGGGCACTGGGCTTACCTGGCCACCAAGACCTAGTGTGGAAAAAAAAAAAACAAGAAAAACAGAAGAACGAGGCTTGGAAGACTGGCTGTGGGTGATGATGTGGAAGCTGGGGGTGGGCGTCGGGGAGAGTCACTTCTCTATGTGTTGTTTTTTCCTTTTCTTGCTGCTTTGGTATTAGATAACATTTTATTTAGGCATATTTTATGTATCCTCAAATTCACCCCTTCCAAGTATACAGCTCAGTGATTTTTGGTAACTACCGTGGTGGAGCTGTCACCCTAAACCGGTTTGAGGACATCCCCCCCAGTCAGCCCCCTCCCTCCCGTTCTTAGCTATCCCCAACCCTACACCCAGCCCCGGCAGTCTTCAATCTACTTCTCTGCCCAAATACCTGCCTTTTCCAGACCTTTCATATATATGGAATCATAGGCTATGCAGCCCACTGGGTCCAGCCTCTTTCACCTGCGTTTCTCATGACTGGAGCCCCCACTGATTGGCTGCAGCCCACTGGGTCTGGCCGCCCCCCAGGTGATGGGCATTTGTATGGCTCCTTGTCATGGGCTGGCATCAGTAACGCTGCGAGGAAGTCTCAGCGTGGATCTAAGTTTCCATTTCTCTTGGGTAGAATCTCTACTTCTATAGTATGAAAATTTCACATGTAAAGTTCAAGAAATAGGGTTTGTAAACCAAAGAGTATCTGAGACAGGTCTCAATTAATTTAGAAAGTTTATTTTGCCAAGGTTAAGGGCACGCACCTGTGACACAGCCTCAGGAGGTGCTGACAGCATGCGCCCAAGGTGGTCGAGGCACAGCTTGGTTTTATACATTTTAGGGAGACATGAGGCTTCAATCAATGTATGTAAGATGTACATTGGTTTGGTCCGGAAAGGTGGGACAACTCAAAGCTGGGATGGGGCTTCCGGTCATGGGTAGATAAGAGGCAAATGGTTGCATATTTTTTTTGTTTTTGAGTTTCTGATTAGCCTCTCCAAAGGAGGCCATCAGATATGCCTTTATCTTAGTGGGCAGAGAGATGACTTTGAATAGAAGGGGTTTGCCCTAAGTTCTCAGTTCTCAGCTTGACTTTTCCCTTTGGCTTAGTGATTTGGGGATCCTGGGATGTATTTTCCTCTCACAGGTTTGAGGAGAGAGAAGAACATGCCTCCGGAGGAAGAACGAATGTTCCTCAAACCAAATGGGGGTCAGAGGGAGAGGTGTAAAGTACCACTGAGAAGTTCCTCTGGGAGAAGTTCTTTGCAGGGTGTGTACAGAGCCCCTCTTGGAGTCACATGGAAAGAACTGATGGCAAATGAGAGCGGCATGTCTGACTCTGGCACTGGACCTTGAGATGGCATCATCCATGCACCTGGAGGCCAGGAATTCCTGCAGCGTGATGCCAGTGGGCACAGATGGAAGGAGGCCCAGGGTGGTGACCCCAGGAACAAGAGGAAGCGGGAAATGAGCAGGTAGGCCCCCCAAGCCCCATGTGGATCTCCACGTGCTCACACATGTACCTGCTGTTTCAATCTATTCATTCTTGCCCTATGTTAAATTTCGTATTTATAGGGGATGTGGTCCACAGCCATATTTGTTTATCACTGTACCAATAACTATATTTGACCACATATGGTTTTACATAATATAATACATCAATATATAAGCAAATATAAACAAGCATATATACCCACATATATAATTTATATGTAACTATAGATATATAAAAATGTGTGTATTATATATATGAATGAGTGTACAAGATACATATATATATAATACAGATATATGCATATGCACGGAAACAGATTCAAAGAATATAGTCATCATTTTTCTGGGAAGCAATGATCATATATAAGTTTAATGTAGTCATGTTTATCTATATACCAATATCTGTATCTATCGCTATACAAACATAAATCTGCACACCTGCTGTGTGTCTGGGGATGTCAGGCACAGGCAGTGCTGTCACTTGGGGGCTTGGCAGAGGCTCTCTGGCCTGGGGCTGTGCAGGGGAGCCTGGAGAGAGTCAGGCTGAGGCTGTGGGACTTGTCACAGGACAAGAACACCCAAGGACTGCAGGGTCACTGTCACAAGGCACATCGGAAGCCTCTCTGACTCGGAGAGGACTTGGAGCATCTCTGCCCTCCCGTGAGGCCCATGAGAGACAGCACTGAGAGTCTGGCCGTCTGGAAGCCAGGACCAGCTCTGCCCGGAAGTCGTAGAGCCAGGTCAGCCTCCGCCTTGCTCCCTGCCTGCGCTGCGCCTTTGCGGCAGCAGCAGCTTAGAGGAGGAAAGGTGGCTCCGAGCACCCTCATGGCTCCCGAGCGCCCGAGCCCAGGGACTTGGGGGACAGCATCGGCGCTGAGTCCTCGAGGCTGGCACCACCAGCTTCCACTTTTACCCTCCGCTCTGAAGCCTGTTGGTGGGCACAGGGTCACTTTCCTGTCCGCGGGCTCTTCACAGTCGGCACATTCAGGGCCGACTTTTTAATGACTGTGCTTTTGGCCACAGCAGTGGTAACAGCAGGGAGTATTTATGGAGCCCCCCTGTCCCTGCACTGTTCCAGGGGCCTCCCACACATGAATACACTTGGTCTGCCCATGCCCCAGAAGGCCTGAGGCCCACCCTGGCAGGGGCTCCCAGCCCCAGCTCCCTGTCTCCTTCCCCCTCCATCCCCTTCCATATTGATCAGGTGTGTCCGTCCTCCAGGTGGTCACACTCCTCAGGGCGCTGGCCCATCCCAGCCCCAGAGCTTCAGTCCGATGGGCTCCGTCATCACTCTCCGGCTGATGGGGGATCAGGCGTGGACTTCAGACCCGATTCTGGATGAGGAGATGTGGGCGTGGGGAGGGGCCAGTCAGAGAAGCCCCAGAAGATCTCCTCATTGTTCCAAAGCTTCAGATACGATTGAGTGAGAATAAGAATGATAGCCGCAATGAATCGTAACACCGCCACTGTGTCTACATCCATGAGTTCATAAGAAAACAAAAAGATAATTGGTCAACTTCGGCTGCAGCTGGAGAACCACCTCATTACTCTGAACACGGATAAGTAAAGGATAAAAATGAAGCCTTTACTGACTTCTCTATGCAAACCGTCCCTCAGGGCAGCTAAGTTGGTATGAAAGGGAAGTTTGTTTTGGTGGGAGTGTTCCAGCTGATAAACACAGGAGCAAGCCTAGAGTTAGGATATTGTTGTTTTGCAGTCCCCGAGGAAGCCATGAACCGAGGCAGCTAATCAGCCGCTGCACACATCCCAGAGAAAGCAGGACCCCGCGTGCCTCCAGATGAAAGCCAGCAGCAGGGTCTAAGCGCAGCCTCCCCAAAATACCCGGCGGAGCCTGTCGACAGCTTTCAGGAATTACAGGGGACAGGGAAAAAGGTTGAATGCCACCCTTGGGATGTATTCAGCAAAACTCAGAAAATGAGAAATGATCCAATTTCTTTAACAACCACCACCACAAAAACAAACAAATAAGTAGTAAAACATTTTAAAAGTTAATGTAAAAACAGATGTGGAAGGAGACCTGCAGGCTAAAACGTATACCCCAACCAATCACAATGCACGGCCCTTAACTGCGTCCTGATTCCAATTGTTTTTAAACCTGTAAAACAAAGGATAGACCATCAGGAAAATGTGAACCCCGATACTGAGGAATGAGTGTGCATTTTCCACAGGTGTGGGGGGCGGGTTGGGGCATGAGGAGAGAGGAGAGGAGGGTGGACAGGCGGAGGGAGCACCACCCACATGCCGAGGTGGGGCCTGGCGCCCATTCTCCGGTTCTCTCCACTTTTGTCCATGTTTGAAATTTGCCATCACAAAAAGCTTCTTTTTTGTTTTGTTGTTTGTTTGTCTAATAGGTCTCCTGGGCAGAGAGCCACTTCCCACTTCCTAGGGCATTGTCCCGGCTGGAGCTGCAGCTGTGGTCTTGCTCTAGTTCTAGGATGAAGCAAAGCCACGGGGGAAGGTGAGGTAGGATGGAGAAAGGACTCGGGGTTCCAGTGCACCCCTGAACCGGCACAGCCTCCCGGCCCTCCTGCTGGGAGTTGGGGGATTGCTTCTAATGGACAATGGATGGACTGTGTCTGATGTCACCCCATACACGTGGAACAGGGCAGCTGTCTTGTGTTCCCAGCCTCTGGTAAGCTCCTTGAGGGCACAGACGCTGTCTGGTTCATCTCTGCACCCCTGACAGTGCCCCGCTGGGTGCCTGGCGCGGTGCCCACTGCTTAGTAGACCCTGGAGTTGTTGGGGAGAAGGCGCTTGGGCCATGGTAGCAGCAGGTGGAGGCTGGGCTTGTGTCCAGTGTTCAGGAAACTCGGAAACCTCCAAATGTGTGACCCCGATGGGATTTTGATTTCTTCCCATCTCTTGAGCCTAAGGCACAATTGTTGGGAACCTCCAAAACCCACTGCTTAGGGAAAAGCCCGCATCCAAATTTCTGCTAAGCAGGAGGGGAAGGTGCCGGGGTGGGTGTGGTCTCGCAGTGCCTGTCCCCTGCTGCTCTGGCTTGCTGCCCTCATCCCTGTGGCCGCTTCTTCCCCAGCATCCTCAACAGCACGTGTGCTCACAGCCCGGACCCCGCCCTGATGGTCTGACTGCACGGCTCCCGCGTCCTGACTTCCTCCCACTCTCCCCTTGTGCGGAGCACCTCTGCCCACGCCCAGTGCCCGGTGCTTGCCCACAGCGGAAGCCCCGCCCTGGAGCTCACCACACCCCAGCCCTGACCCTACAGCAGCCCCCACCAGTGAGTTCTGCCATTAGAGTCAGAATGTCTCTTCCCTCTCGTGTGACAGGTTTGCATGCTACTCAGAATTTAGTTCTCCAAGGACCCCTGAATCACAGTCAGGGCCAGGCCCAGAGCAGGCCCAAAGCTGAAGAAGGTGCTCACCCTCAGGGCTCTCAGAGACAAGGGGGAAGAGTCCGGGGGGCTTTTGAGAGGCACCAAGTTCAAGTCTGTGTCGCCCACGCAAGGCTCCTTCTCTCTCCAACCTCTTCACCCCAGGGACTCTGGAATCCTGCCTTCCACACCCCACATGGCTAGAACCACTAGTGCAGGAACATGCAACTCCGCAATCAGCCTGCCTGCCCCTCACCTGCACACACCTCTGCTGCACCTCCACACTCAGCCTACCTGTGCTCACCTGGGCAGCAGCTCCATACTCAGCCTGCCTGCCCCTCACCTGCACGCACCTGCTCCTCACCTGTGCTCACCTGGGCTGGAGTTTAGCCTTTCCTTCTGCAGCCTCTGAGGTGTGGAAAGTCACATTGCTCCTCACAGAGCCCCCAAAACAAGACAGACACAAACCAAAGACAAAAAGCAAATGTTTGGTTTTTAAACTAGCTTAATAATCTGCTCAACTGGCCTCTCCTCTCTGAACTGTGTTGGGGATCCTGGTGGAAGAACTGAGGCCTACCTGCCCTGCAGATGCAGCCACCACGTGGGCTCCCACCCCTGGCCAGAGCCCACCATGAAGAATGTCAGTGTTGCCAATGAAGGCGGGGGGTGGTCCACAGAGGAGGGCTCTGGTCCAGAGCAGAGTCTGGGTGTCCTTGGAGTGCCTGTCCAGGCACGGTGTGGGGGGACAATGTGTGGTCAGGTGGTGGGGGCCGTGCCCCTGACAGGTCTGCACTCAGAGTAAAAATGGTTGCACCAACCAGATGCCACTCAACAAATGGCTCCCAACTGCCCCCAAAGCTCTGAGCCCTGGTTCTGAAAATTTGGCTCTGCCTGGGGGAGGGAACATGGGCTGTTCCCTCCCATGTTCTGAGCAGATGCAGACATTTCTGATTGCACACATGACTACCATCTTGTCATGTGGTGCATGCTCCACTCACGTGCCCAGGGCTTCGCATGCGATCTTTCGTTTAATCCCTGTGAAGACCTTCTGGAGGAGACGCCATTGTTCCCATTTTACAGAAAGGCAAAACTCAGAACTAATAAGCTCCTTACCCAAAGAGTCTCAGGCAGCCAAGGGCAGAGCTGGGCTCTATGACTCCACCCAATGCCAAAGTGCTCGCCACTGAGGCCACCCAGGGGCCCCTGCTCAGGATGATCTTCCCGGGAAGCCAGCCTCCCTGATCTACCCTGATCTACCCTGGGCTGTGACAGGGCTAGGCCTACAGGCCAGCTGAGTGGTGGCCGGGTGAGACCCCAGGCTGGCCACTTCATCATCTGCAACAACTGGCCAGCCGGCTCGCGCAGAGTCACCTGGGCCGAGCATGGTAGTTTAGAAAGCCCTGGTAGGTTTTACATCTTCGTGGAAGTAAAAACCCCTCCTTTGATGACACACAGGACTATGCATAGGGCCTGGGGAAGCTCCCTCACCCCAAATTCCGTGAGCTGATTGTTCGGGGTGTGCAGTGGGCCGGGATCCTCAGTGAGCACCCAGACTCCCAAAGGTGGCCAGAGGTGCTGACCGGCCATCCCTGGAGCTGAGAGGGCCCCATAGACAGAAGCTGTGGCCTAACTCCCCGACAAGTTGCAGGACTAGAGCCATTTACCCAGCCTGGGGGTGGACAGCCCCTCCTTCAGACACCAGCCAGGCTGCGGGTGCACCAAGACCACCCCTGAGGGGCGGAGTCTCGACTCTGGCGAAGCATCTGCTACCGAGCCTGAAAGCAGGAGTGGACACCATGTGTGGCTGCACAGCTTGCCCCTCTCCCCGTGCAGGGCCCGTCTTTCTGGCCCCGTCACCCAGCCCTGGCCTCCAGCACAGCCCTGCTCAGTCCCTCACCCCTCAGTCCTGGGGCCTTGGAGGCAGGGACTGGGAAAGGCCAGCATCTCCCATCTTCCTGCTTGGCTGGAGGAGCTCCCAGAACCTGTGTTCAGCTCTGGCAAGTGGGAGGAGCAGCTCTTTAGAATAACTACCTGCAGCAGCCATGGCCTCCTGGGGGCCGCTGGGAGCAGCTGCCCCCGCACCTCTGGAGCAGCTCTGCTAGTGGTGCTCAGAGTAGAGGCTGTCTTGGGGCCAGGGCTGCAGAGATGCTACCTTCTGAGCAGGGACTAGGGAGGACAAACAGTAAGCTTCTCTTCCAAAAAAACAAACAAATATATTTCTCTCTTATTCTCCATCACAACTGCAAAGCAGACAGCAGTAGCAACGAACCAGCGACTGTCAGGAAGCAGTTGTGAGCTGGGATGAGAATTCAGGCATTTTCAGATGCTGAGGCAACAGCCCTCAGTTCTGGGGCTTTCTCCATCTGCTGGGACGCTTACCCCCTTCCTCACGGCGTCCAAGGACACCCCCAGACACAGGGCAGACATAGATCCAGGCCTGGAAGCTTGGGGCTGTCTGAGGCGGGAGGGCCACACGCAGGTCTTGCAGGAGGGTGGATGGGAAGCAGCTCGGGAAGCCATCACGGTGACAATGCCCTGGCCCCCCTCGTCCCCTGCGCTCATCCTGCAGCCGCCGTCCCAGGGGTCCAGACCCCTTCCTTGTACCCTGATGGCTGCCCCTTGCTCTCTAGGCTGCCTGCTCCGCCTTGGCACCAGCACACCCCCCAACCAAGCTCCCCGCTTTCTTCTCCTCTATGGGCTCCTTTCCCAAACATCCATTCACACCTGCAGAACGAGCATGGCCTTTGGATGGGCCCAGGCCCTCGACACCCGCTGGGCTGGTCTCTTTTGCAGCCTCTCAGGCATCGGCGCTTGTCCCTGGGATCTCCCTGGGCAGGGCCAAGCCAGGCGGGTCATTCTCCTGGGAGCACCGCACTCATTCCCAGGCTCTACCTAGCGGCGCTGTCCGGACCGCCCATCAGGACCACCTCGAGGATCATCCACATCCCACATGCAGGAGCCCTGGAGAGGCCCTGGATGCCCACCTCCCCACCTGGACACCTCCACTTGGAGGGCAAGCCCAGGGCGTGGGGCCTGGCACATCCAGGCTGTCCTAGCCTCCTCGGGCAGCGTCCCTGGGCTGTGGGAGGTTTTCTTGCCCAGAGAGCCAGAGAGGAGCCCCCGGAATGTTCCCACAGACGTCAGCTGTTGCTCATCCCAGGCTCTGTGTTTTACAAGTGAAGCCCAAAGACAGAGAGAGGCAATGGGCTGCCCAGGTCCCCAAGACCACAATGTGGCCTTGTCCTGGGAGAGGCTGCTGGGGGGACCTCCTGAGCTCTTCCGTGGCCGTGTCTACCCCAGTGGGTCCGGTGGGTTCCGGGGTCTGCTCTGAAGCTCTCCTCTGCAGGCCCGGCTCTCCACAAGGCTCCAAGGTTTCACACGGACGACTTCCTCCCCATTCCCCTGCCCGATCCCCAGGGAGCCGTCCTGTTCCAGGACTCAGGCAGGAGCGGAGGCACCTTCCCCATCCTAGCACCCACCCTGTCCCTGCCAGGCCACTTCACCATGACCTCAGGTCATTCTCACCTAGCCATGGCAGAAAGGTAAGATCCCAACGAGGAAACTGAGGCTCAGCCAGGTAACAAGCCCACCAAGTGGGAGGTGGCATCTGAAGGACCGCATGATGCTGCCCCCAAGCTCCCAGCCACTGCCCTCCACACATGGCCGGGGTGGCACAGGGGCTGCGGCTGCTGGTTCCCAGACAGAGGGTACAGGAAGCCTGGGGAGGATGGGCCTCTGCGGCCTGGGAAGGAGCCCCTCCCTGATGGGGGAGCCCCTCCTGGACAGGGCAGGCACGTGGCCACAGTCACTTTACACCTCCAAAGCCCGGGCAGTAGACGTCACCCAGGGGACACCCAGGCCAGGGAGGAGGGGGCCGTTGGCCCGCACAGCTGGGTCGTTGGGTCCATTCTGTGTGAGGAGTGGTCCCCAAGGGCAGGGGTAGTGCAGTGCAGGCCCTCTGGTGGTCTCGGGGGCAGAGCTAGGGGCTTCGTCTCTGTGCTGCCTCCATACCCTGGTACAGAAACACCAGGTGAACCCCGGGCTGACCAAGCTCATCCTGGCTGCCAGCACCCCAGGCCCGCTGGAGCGCGGCCCGGGGCCCTTCCTACCCCTCTGCAGCTGGTATGTACTTCCTGCAGTGTGGGCGGAGAGGGGGAAGGGCAGCCTTCCTGCACTGTGCAGGCTTGGGGAAGAAGGGAGGCTGAGCTGAGGGCCGCGGCACCCAGAGGCCCAGCAGAGGGGTTTTGGGCCAGCCTGGAAGTCACCACAAAAGCAGGAGCGACTCTGCCGCTCCCAGCAGGAGCAGGCTGTGGAGATGGTAGCACCAACTCTGCCAGGGTTGAGGATGACTCTGCCCAGCTGGGTGGGATCTGCGGGGCTACATGAAGACCCACGTCACCCACCATGACCGGGCCCAGGCTGACTCCTGGACATCTGCCCCGCATGGGAACTCTGCCCTGCGTGGGAACTCTGCCCTGCGTGGGAACTCTGCCCTGCGTGGGAGCTCTGTCCTGCGTGGGAACTCTGCCGTGCATAGGAACGGTGCTGGCAGAAGCCCCTTGTTTTGAGCAACTCATGGGTGAAGCATTTTTAAAGAGAGAAGAAACTCACTGCGCGATGGACAAAAGGAATAAAAATAAACACCATCCGAGTAATCTAGGGAAGAAATCACCAACTCTACAGACAACGTTTAATACGTGAGCTCTAGCATCACCCACAGAGCCGGAGAGGGAAGGGTGTGAATGAGGAAGACATTAGGTGGCCTGGCTGGGTTTCCACACTTGTTTTCCAAACAGGGGCAGGCCAACTGTCTGGAAAGTGGGAGAGAGAGGCCTGGTGGCAGCAGGCCGGCCAGTGGTTTGCACGTGGAGCCCCCGAGAGCACACTGGCCCTGTGGGCACAGGGTGCTCTGTGGGTCCTGGTGCGTCGAAGCCCTGGTCCCAAACTCAGGAGCCGGCTGTCCATCTCAGGCCATGCTGCTGTGTGAGCCTGAGCACATGTGGCTGCACCTCTCTGAGCCCCTGAGAGGTTAAGACTCTTAGCCTGGACGCCACAGGATTGGGGTGTCTGGAGATGTCCACCAGATTTTCTGAATGCAGCACAGCGTTGAATCTGGAGGCTACATCAGGGCCTGGCTGGTACTGGGAGGTCCCATGAAGCCGGTTCCCCAGCTTGTAGCTCAGGAAGGGTTGGGCCATCATTCTCATTCAGGTTTTAATGTGCCCCTAATAATGGGATTTCCTCACCCTCCTGATGGGTGACATACACCCTGTGGTCCCCCCTTCACCCTCCGATCTGGACGCTCCCAGTACCTCAGCCTGCGGTGTGCAGTTCTCAGGAACGGGCCTCGGGAACACGCACCAAGGAGGCCTGTGCTTAGACCTAATGTATTGAGTAAGCAGGAAGTAAATCTGCCATTGCAATGCCCTGCGTTTTGGAGAGTGCCTGAGAATTTTTGCTTCCTCTGAATCACCTCGCCATCCTCTCCTGACCAGGGAGAGAGCATAGTCATCCTTGTTCTGAAAACACAGCCTTATGGAAGCAGGAGGAAACGTGGCCTAAGTGCCCCCGGATGTCCGTGCACATTTCAAGTCAGATCCTGGGCCCCTCCATGTGTTCTTCGTGCTCTCCGTGTCTGGCCAGTGGGGACAGCGGCCCACCCCTTCCCTGCTGCTCCATTCCGCCCTCCATGGCATCAATCTGGGCTGTGTTGTGGGGCCTAATGGACCTGCTCCAGACGCCTACCCTCGCTCCTTGTAATGGTCCTCACAGAGCACAGAGGGAGGGGCCCTGGGAGCCGTCTCCCCCCAGCCTTGTCCTCATGGCACTGGCTTCGACTTCCAGAGCCCCCAACGTGTCTGTGTTGGGAGCAACCGAGGCATCAATCACCGGTGACCTCATCCTCCACTCGATAAAATGTGCATAATGACTCTTTCCCCTCCCAAGCCTCCGCAGGGACCCGGGGCTGATTGCAGCTGCTTACTCCAGGCCAAGCAGGAGGCAGGGGCATACAGAAAGCCAGCACCTGTCAGGCACTGCCCAACGCCATTCCTCTGCCCGGAGCCCGGGCTCCTCCCCAGCCTCTGGCTGTGCTGCGTCCAAGGAGATCTTCCTGGTGCCCTGTCCAAGCAGGTGTCGCCTCGGCATTGTGCACTGCTGCCACTTGTCTGTCCCTTCTTAGCTCTCATGCCCCTACATAGGTACACTTCTCATTAACGGTGTACCTGCTTCTTCTCCACCAAGCATGTTCAGCCCTCGTAAGTGTCCACTGGTATCTGTTGAGTGAATCAACCAAGGAAGGCACCAAGCAGGGAGCAAGACACTCAGTGCACATTGTTTTGTGTGTTCATGACAACATTCCTTAAATAAGTATAATTATCTCCATTTTATAGATGAGAAAAATTAGATTCAGAGAAATTAATATCCCAAAGCTAGAATTTCAAATCTAAATATTGCTCTAAGACATTTTGTCAGCAGACACAGCACAAGAAGAGAATGTTTCTCAAAAGGTCAATCCAGGCCAGCTTAAGGAGCAACTATCCCGTGGGAGGCCAGGGTGGCATTGTGACGATGGACACAATTACCCCCTCCTGTTAACTGCTACAACACCTGTTCTGTGCCTCCCTTTGGCCTTTCCTAGTACAACTTCTCGCTGACTTGTATTCTCATGATTTCTGGTATTTCTCAGTCTCCAGCTAGATCTCAGTTGCTGGGGGGCAGCAGTCTCATCTGAATAATGCTCATATTCCCCAAACTGAAGAAATTTTCCATGCCCCACACGATTCTGTTCTGAGATAATTGTGTGGGTGTGTAGAAGTTTCTTATTGGCATGCCTTAGTCCCCAATAGAATGTGAGCTCCTGGTGGTCAAGAGTCATTTTATTCAGTTATTTTTCTCCTGAATTTAGCATAGGCCTGGCTTGTAGTAAGATATTGATAAGTGGTGGATGGATAGATAAATAAACAGATGAATGGATGGATGGATGGATGGGATGGATGGATAGATGGGTGGATGAATGAATGGATAGATGGGTGGAGAACTGGATGATAGATGAATAGATGGATGGTTGCATAAATAAGTGGGTAGTGGATGGGTGGATTGATTTTTGGGTGGGTGTGTGGATGGATAAGTACATGGATAGATAAATGGATGGATGAATGAACAAAAGAATGAGTGAGTGGATGGATGGATGGATGGATGGGATAAATGGATAGGTAGGTGGATGGATGGGTGGACAAATGGATGGATGGAAAGATGAATGGATAGATGGTTGCATAAATAAATGGGTAGTGGATTGGTGGATTGATGCGTAGATGGGTGGGTGGGTGGATGGATAGGTGGATGGATGCATGAATGGATGAAAGGATGTGTGAATGGGTGGATGGATAGATGAATGGATGGATGAAAGGGATGGGATGGATAGATGATGGGTTGATGGATGGGTGGAAGGATGAATGGACAAATGGATGGATGAATAGATGAATGGATAGATGGTTGCACAAATAAATGGGTAGTGGGTGGGTGGGCTGATGCATGGTGGAGGGATGGATAGATAGGTGAATGGATGGGTGAATGAATGAAAGGATGGGTGAGTGGATGGATGGATGGATAGATGGGTGGGTGGGCAAGTGAGTAGATGCATGGGTGGTAGGTGGATGGACAGGTAAATGAGTGAATGGAAGAGCTGGTGGATGGCTAGATGCATGTACAGGTGGATGTATGAATGATGGGTGGATGAACGGACGAGTAGATGGATGGGTGGTAGGTGGATGGACAGGTAAATGAGTGAATGGAAGAGCTGGTGGATGGCTAGATGCATGTACAGGTGGATGTATGAATGATGGGTGGATGAACGGACGAGTAGATGGATGGGTGGTAGGTGGATGGACAGGTAAATGAGTGAATGGAAGAGCTGGTGGATGGCTAGATGCATGTACAGGTGGATGTATGAATGATGGGTGGATGAAAGGACGAGTAGATGGATGGGTGGTAGGTGGATGGACAGGTAAATGAGTGAATGGAAGAGCTGGTGGATGGCTAGATGCATGTACAGGTGGATGTATGAATGACGGGTGGATGAACAGATGAGTAGGTATGCGGGTGCGTGAGTGGATGGATGGGTAAGTGCATGGATGAGTGGATGAAAGAATGAAAGTCAGGCGTGATCAAGCGTTGACGATTATGGTCTCTTCTAAAGGATTTTTTGAGAGCTGCTTAGGGATGTAAGTATCTGTGAATGTCGCCAGTTATCATCAAGTGGAGAACATTTCCCAGCTGCAGTCAGAGAGAGAAACGACAGTGGAAGAAGGGTCAGAGAGATGCGTTATCGCTGACCTCAGATATGGATAAAGGGGCCACAAGCCAAGAAACGTAGGTGGCCTCTGGACACTGGAAAAGATAAAGAAATGCATTCACCCTTTCAGCCTACAGAAGGAACACAGCCCTGCCCTGAAGACACCTTGATTTTAGCCCAGTGAGCCTGAGCTGGAGTTCTGGCCAACAGAGCTATGAAGTAATCACTGCGTGCTGTCATAAGCCACTAAATGTGTGGCAATTTTCTGTAGCAGAAACAGAAAATTAATATGGGGGATTTGCTGTTTAATAGAGAAGTGGGCAAAGTGCTTGAGGAGTGTCTCTGTATGGAGCCCAGGGAAAGCAGCCTTTCCTCTAAAAGGGCCTGGACCCAGCCTGCTTGGTCAGTGAGTGGAGCCTCCCTGGGAGGCCTGAGCATGGCTCTGTTAGCCTCCTTCGCAGGAGACACACGGCCGTGGGAAGGAAGCTGCCCTGTGTTCACTCGCATCAATGTTCATTGTTCTTCACGGCGGAAATGGGTCTGTCGTTTATGAAGTGGTGCCAGAGCCAGTGGGTGCAGGATCTGCCCAGGAACCAGGGCACTGGGAGCTGGTGCCTTTCTGCCCTGCAGATGGAGAGACCAGGACCAGCAAAACTCATGTGATGTGCCCAGTGTAGAGGGCCCCAGACAGTGACCCCTGTTGGTAGCCCCCAAAGCCTGGACTCCTGGGCATTGCTGGAGTGAGGTTTTCTGCAGTGCAGTCTTATTTCAGAGACACTGGTGCGCTGGCAAGTCGGGGGAAGCCCCCGGCCTGGAGTTGCACGACCTCTGCGCTGATGCTTTGAAAACACTGTTTATCAGGCAGGCTTCCTCCATTCTCCTGTGTAAAGCCAATGTTTCTCATTCCTCATTCCTTACACCTAATATCCGAGTGCTTTCCAAGCAAAAGCATACTCCTGACCATAGGGCATGTGAGACTGAAACAGCTGCTATATTTAACAAAAAAAACACATCCTGTTGCCATGACAACCTGCGTCTAAAATTAGAAACGTCACGTACCACGGGATAGATACCATGAAATGGGCTGCTCCCGTCGCTCTCATCGATTCTCCAGGCTGGGGCTGGGTGCTCCTGGCCCGCACCGCATCCTGCAGTGGATTCGTATCAGAGGGACTCTGTGTGGGTAGACAAAATCTCTCTCCAATTTCCTTAGACCCTGGCCAGCCCTCTGCATGGGAGGCCTCCTGGTGTTCGTGGTTTCCAACGGTTTGTCTGTCAAGCTAGGGTCGCCTCTCAGGAAGCGTGGACAGAGGCATCTGGGAGAGAGGTGGTCAGGGGCCCAGGACCGGAGAGCCAGCCGGGTGTCCTGGTGACACAGCAGTCCCCTCCCTGACCCCACTTCCCACTCTCACATGAGCAGCGCTTTGCTGGCATTTCAGAGGGCTTGGCCCTCAGCACCTTCCCACATCTCAGGATCAACTCTCCAAGCACTGCCCACTCAGGCCTGACCCATGCCACCACACGAGAGGCTGCTCAGGGCCCTGGACCCTTGTGGCTCCCCCTGCCAAGTCCCCGGCCAGGCAGCCTCATGGGCAATCTTCTTGCCTCTCAGACGTGCGTGACTCCTTCCCTCCTCCCATGGCTGCGAGGCACTGCCTGGCTACCCCTCTCTCCTGTCCCCTGGATACCGGCCCTGCCCTCGGAGGAGGTTGCCCGCAAGCCCCGACCCCAGTCTGTCTGCTCCTCCACCACGTGTGCTTCTGAAACGAGCAAGGCTCAGACGCCTAAACCCTGCTTGGCATGCCGCCTTCGCTACCCCGCGAGCTACTTGGTTGAGGTCCTGGGCATCTGGGCCCAGAAGGGAGCTCCCCTGGCTGTGTAGTTGTCACTGTCACTGATATGGTTTAGACCTGTGTCCCCGTCCAAATCTCACGTCGAATTGTAATGCCCGGTGTTGGAGGTGGGGCCTGGTGGGAGGTGATCAGATCATGGGGGTGGAGTTCCCCTGACTTAGCACCGTCCTCTCAGTACTGTTTAGTGGGTGAGTTCTCACGGGTTGTGGTCGTTTAAGAGTGCAGCACCTCCCCGCTGTCTCTCTTGCTCCTGCTTCAGCCACGTGCGACATGCCTGCTTCCCTTTCACCTTCTGCCATGACTGTAAGTTTGCTGAGGCCCCCCAGCCATGCTTCCTGTACAGCCTGCAGAACTATGAGCCAATTAAACCTCTTTTCCTTATGAATTACCTAGTCTCAGGTATTTCTTTACAGCAGCAAAGAACAGACTAATAGAGCCGCAGTAGCGTTGATTGTCTGTGCATGCTTCTGTGAGTTCTAATGCACACAGAGATTTGTGTAACCACCACCACATTCCATCCGCACAACGCCCCCCTGCTGCTCCGTGTAGCCACACCCTCCTGCACCGAAACCCCCGGGCTGCTGACCTATTTACCGTTCCTCCAGTGGTGTCTCTTCAAGAATGGAGCAGAATCAGAGCCCCACAGTGCAGAGCTACCTTCACTCAGCGTGACACCTTGAGACCCACCCCAGGTTGTCGCCTGTATCAAGTTAGTTTGTTTTTATTTCTGGGAAGCGGTCCATGACACGAATGTGCCGTCATTTATTCCACTGTTAGAGGGCATTTGGGCTTTTCCAGTGTTTGGTGATTATGACTAGAGTTGCTATAAACATCCACGTTCAGGTTTTTATTTATCTAGAGAAAATGCCCAGGGGCCCAGACTGCTGAGTCATGTAGTGGTATGTGGCTGACGTTTTAGGGCACAGCCAAGCCACTCTCCAGGAGGCTATCCCCCTTTTGCACTCCCCCCAGCAGCGTCCTCACCTGCACGTGTGCTGTTTTACCAACCGTTCCAATAGGTGTGTTTGGCTGTGCTGGTAGGGCTGTCACCCAGTTTTTAAAGGACAACACTGTCTTTCCACACCTAGTGGAAGCTAATTTCTAGTTAACTCTTTATAAGCAAGAAATTAGCTTCCATTAGGGGTGGAAAGACAGCGCTGTCCTTTAAAAACTGGGTGACAGCTGAAGCGTTAGCTGACCGGGTGCAGTGGCTCATGCCCGTAATCTCAGCACTTTGGGAGGCTGAGGCAGTGGCTCATGCCCGTAATCCCAGCACTTTGGGAGGCTGAGGCAAGCCGATCACCTGAGGTCAGGAGTTTGAAACCAGCCTGGCCAACATGGTGAAACCCCATCTCTACTAAAAATACAAAAATTAGCCGGGCGTGGTGGTGCATGCCTGTAGTCCCAGCTACTCGGGGAGCTGAGGCCAGAGAATCACCTGAATATGGGAGGTAGAGGTTGCAGTGAGCAGAGATCGCATCACTGAACTCCAGACTGGGTGACAGAGTGAGACTCTGTCTCAAAAAAACAAACAAACAAACAAACAAAAAAGAGCCGAGGTTTCCAAGGTCTGTGTTTTGCAGGAGAACTATACAGGCTGCTCTAACACATGCTGCCAGTATTCACTTTACAGTCTTGTGGAGACATTTGCCAGGGTTTACAACAGTAAGTAATGATAAAGCTCACCTGTACCCAGCACTTAGGAGTGGGCTGGCACCTGCACGGCCGCACTGACTCTCCACAGCCCTGTGTGGTGGGCGATGGCACAGCCCTCACTTTGCTGCTGAGAGGCTCTCCTGCCTGGGGACACACAAGCTCAGATGAATTTGCATGAAGCTAATAAGACTGAAGTTCCAGGAGCTCTAATGTGTAGTTCCCGTCCAATGGGAAAAAATTCTTATAAGGAATTTGTAGTTTTTGCCACCTGAAAACCCTCTATCTGTTCAACAAAAGTGAAATTAGTTCAAAATATCAATCCAAAGTATTTAAGAGTATTCACTACCCAAGAAAACATAAAAAGCATTAATATTTTACAGATTGGGTGTGAAAGAAATATGATAGAGATTTTCCTAAATTTGACAAGAATCCTAAAATTTCTCGTCATTACCAATAGTGGGCTGCCAAGTTAAAATGAACTTTTCTAAACTTTCAACAACTGAGATAAAAAAGAGGTCACTCATGCTGAAGGAGACTGGATTATCTTTCCATTTTCTTCATAGAAATGATGTTGTGTACTTGTATGAAGAGACCATCAAGAAGTATACAGATAAACAGTTGGAGAGAAATGTACAACAGGCTGATAATTATTAAATGACTGTTGCTGCTATTTTTCTTCATGTTGTGATGCTTGTAGTGTTTGTCAGCTTTTAAAGTGTCATAATTGGTTGCAATTTTCTTCTGGGCACATGCCCTGATCTCCACCCGCAGGAGAAGCTCCTTCCCGGAGAAGGGAGGTGTCACACTGCGGGGAGGCTGTGCCAGAACTGCTCGCCATGAAAACGGAGGATTCTGCAGCGTCTTCATGTGCTCCTTCCCGGACATGACTTCCACTCTTCCAACCTCATTTACGGGCACATGGTTTGATCGTTATGCCCTGGCCTCCCAGGAGATCATGGTCAGAGTGCAAGACCATGGAAAAACGGTGCTAAACTGAATCTGCTTCTGTTTGGTTTCACTGGTTTATTGCCTACTGTCACCCCTTCCACAAGCAGGTGGCTCTCGCTGTACATGTCACAAGTTATTCACCTGGGCCAGTGAGCCAGGGAGCATGTGCCATGGTTGTTATCCAATGCAGTGTAACAAATCCCAACTCTTGCTGCTAATAACAATGGCAACCTTTATTTTGTTCATGAATCTGCAATTGAAGCAGAGCTGGGTGGGACGGCTCCTCCCCGAGCCGGGGACACCAGCAGGGAGGGTTTACGGGCTGGGTCTGAAGTTGCCTGAATGCTCACTCATGTCGGGTGGCTGATGCTGACTGTGGGCAGGGACCTTGGTGGGACTGTCAGCTAGAGCACTTGGGCTTCCTCACAACATGGTGGCTTGGTTACAAGATCGAGGTCCTGACAGAAAGGAAGTCCAAGAAGAAGCTGTCTCATCTTGCATGTCCTGGCCTTGGAAGTCATATGGTGTCACTTCTGCAGCATTTTATTCAATGAGGTGGCCATCAAGTCTCATGAGTTCCAAGAGCAGAAGAAAGAGATTCGCTTCTTGGGGGGAGTGGTGGCACGTTCTGGATGAGTGTGCTGGACTGGAACAGTGCTGTGGGGAGACCCAGGCTGCCACGTGGTGTGTGTGCCAGGCATTCTAAGATGCCCCAGTGAGGTGATTCATTGTCGGGACACATGCATTAGACACAACTTTCTTTTTGCATGGTGAAGATATCTGGGGGGGTGTTGGTTGGAGCAAGTCAACATTACTTTAAAATTACTTTCTCAGGGAATATCAACCCTGACCCCCGTTCTTACCTCTGAGTGAGGCAGCCCCGCCCAGATGCTGGACTCTGTTGAGAGCCTCAGTTTCCACAGAACACATGGGTCCCACTCACTCCCAACAGCCCGATGTGGAAAGGCATGTGGTTCCAAGACTCACCTCCCACCTGAGTAGCAGAGGTCAGGTATTTGTGGGGGAGCACAGGCTTGCCTGATACCATCAGAGTCCTTGGTTGAGGGATTAGAATTTATGCTGTGTTCCCTGGAGGGCATCCATCCTTCTGCTTTTGCCCCAATAATCTCTCCTTCTCTGTCCATCCTCCAATTCAAGCAGGTGGTCAGCAGCACCAGGCTTATAGCCTCACAGAGGGTCATGACTTAGTCAAAGCAGAAATCTCATCCCCCGCAAGAATTTATGGATTTTGTTTCCAAAAACCCAAGCCCTAGGTTTGAGTGGAAGAGCGAGAATCCGAAGTACAAACTATCTTAGCCAGAAGCATGAAGGGGAAAATACCTTCCAGCAGGTGAGACAGAGCATCTCATAGGCTGGGGGGCTGATGAGGGCAGGGAGCCTTGCAGGTCCTGGAGGAAGGGAGCTTCCACCTGGTGAGGCAGAGCCTGACTGTGGTCACTCTTCTCACCATATCCTGTGGCTCCTGAACCTCCACTAGACTGCCTTCCCAGCGTCCCCGTGGTCAGTCGTGGTCACCTGATGAGACAGATAGCAAAAGTGAAGTGTGCCACCCCAGGACAGGTGAACAAGGCACAGGCCTGCCTTTATGCCTGTGAGAGGCAGCCTCTGAGATACCCAGCAATCCCCACTTCCTGGCATTCACACCCTGTGGGACCCCTCTCCTTGAGTATGGAGGGGACTACACAGAACATTGCAGAAGTAATGGGATGGGACATAAAAAGACAGTGGCTTCTGTTCTGCTCTCACTGTCTTGTCCCAGCACCCTCCCTCTCTCCCTTCCTCCCTTGCTTTAATGAGGCCAGCTGCCATGCTGTGCACTACACCAGGCAGAGGCCCCCCTGGCAAGGGCCTGAGCACAGACTGGAGCCAATGGTCATCCAGAGACAAAGGCTCTAAGTCCAAGAGTCCATGAGGATCTGAATTCTACCAACAACCGTGAATGAGCTTAGACATGGAACCTTCTCCAGTTGAACCTTCGGATAAAACCCAAGCCCTTGCTGAGGGCTTCACTCCATCCTCATCCAAGAATACAAGATGGAGGCACTCAGTTGAGCTGTGCACGGATTTCCAACCCACAGAAACTGTGAGATCATAACGGTTTGTGGTTTGAAGCCATTCAAACCGGTTTGTGCTTCAGAGTTGTGGGGATGATTTGTTCTGTGTCAATAGATAACTGTCCCATGTTTCCCATCTGCCGGCTGAATGCAGCATCCTCCTGGGAGAGGGCAAAAGTGCAGAAGGAAGGCTTCCACGGACCAGGAGCACCTGCTGTGTGGGACAGTCAGGAGGCAACAAAGTCGACTGTGTCGACAGACTGAAATTTGTTGTTGCTGTTCCTGCGTCTATCGCTCCCCTGAGATGGAGTGGCTGTGGGCTGCATCAAGGCAGAAAAGCCTGCATCATGTGGGAATAAATGAGGCTGCATGTGATCAAATACCCGGAAAACAATGGCGTAAACCAGTAAGTGTGTTTTTCTCACCGGGCAGGTGGTTTGGGGGTCAGTGCTGGTTGGTGTCAGCTCAGCAGCTGCACATCCCAGCAGAGGCTCTGTGGCTCTCCCGGCCTTTCTCTCGCCTTTGCGGGATGTCTGCTGCTCCTCCAGGCTTTGTGTCCAGTCTCAAAGGGCAGTGCCAGCTGTTTGGCCATTTCCATGAGGAAAGGAAAAGCTTTCTCAGATGTCCCTGGCAAACTTCCACTATTTCTCCTTGGTCAGAGCGTGTCACTTGGCAGCTCCTGGCTGTTCCCGTGAGTGGAAGGAGTGCCTCCTCAGCTCACTCCCCCTGCTAACTGCAGCATCTGCAGCTTGCTTCATGCACCTTCTTTCTGCTGAGGTTTTATCCTTCTCCTCCAAGCTGCAAAGAAGGGTCTGGCCTGGAAACCTGAATTCCAGCCACGATTCAGCCCTTAGCTTTGTTTGTGGCTTTGGCCACTTGTCTTTATTCTCTGAGCTGTTATGTTCTTCTATACAAGGGATTCCGTTCCAAGGACTAGCTAAATCATTTGGAAATTTTAAGATTCATGGATAAAAGGAGGCCTGGAAAGAAATGGAAAAGAAGCAGAATTCCATTAGGAATGCCCAGCGGTGAAATTGAGAGTGCAATCCCGCTGGCTGAGGGGCTCCTGGAAAGTGGGGCCTGTCAGGTGACAGAGGTGGAGAGAGGGTGGTGCAACGGGAAGGGCTGCATGGCAGGATGAGAAGGTGGCAGCAATGCCAGCGATCAGACGGGCTCTGCAGATTTTGCCCTTAGAGCAACTAGAATTTCTCTTTGGCTGAAAGATGTTTGTAGTGAGGGAGAATCTGCCCGAGGACACTTCTGCTTGTGTGCGTTTCTTTTAGGCATAACATCAGCTCCCAGGGTGCAGGCAGTGCTTTCTCTCCCTAACATGGAGCAGGTGGCCCTTCCTCTGAGGACGGCCTCAGGCACCATCAGACCCGTCAGAGAATCACAGCCTGGCGCCTGCCAAGCACACCGCCACCTCCTGGAACTTGCAGTTCTTGTCTTACTTACAAATGATACCAAATTCCTGGGCAGCCCCCTGTTCTCCACATTTTCTGGATTTGTGCGGCCTGCTTTGCTTTGTACAATGTTTTTGCACACTGTGTCACTTGCCCTTCATGGCAGCTCCTGTGAAGGGTGAGAGCTTCTTCTGGAGACCCTCTGTGACCTGCCCATCGGGGCCCAGTGAAGGAGCCCCATGGATCCTGGGCACAGAGGGCCTGTTGTCCAGCTCACAAGTCAAGAGGCAAGAAAGGAACTCTGCAGCTCCCTGGCATTCTTCCCAGGTCCCCAGCAAGGTCATCCTAGGTGTGCCAAAGTCAGAGCCCACAGAAGTGACCCCACAGGTAAAGTCTGCAGGTATAGCCACCTGCTCTTTGTGATCTGATTGAGTCCAATGGGGACCTCCTCATACACACACGTCCACTGGAGAACATGGGGCCCTCCTATCCAGAGACAGCTGCAGAAAGGCCTTTAGCAAATAGCATATGAAGTTGAGATGCTTCACCGGTCACTTCTTCCTCCTATGCACTGTACTTCCTTCTTAGATGCCCCAGTTGCTAAAAAAAAAGATCCATCCTGTAGGGTTAGGGAGTACCCAGGTGTGGAAATGAAGGACCCTTGGCCCTTTCCACTGCTGCCTGGGGGCAGAGCAGGCCCTGCCATCAACTCAGGCTGCAGCTGCAGGTGCACACGGAAGAGGCTTGAGGTTCACCGGCCTTTCAAGGGTAGGTGGTAACAGACAAAATCTTAGGCTGTGCGAACGTGAGGGACAAAATACATGGCTGCGTGGAAACTAAGATGATCTCACGATCAGAAAAGGGGTCTCCATGCCATGCAGCGGGGCCCCGAGCATCACATGCCACTCACCCAAGCTGGGAAGAAAGTGCAGTGATTAACCCTTTCCTAGATGAGGAAACTGAGTCTCAGGGATGTGGAGTGGCTCAGGAGAATTCATATGTGAGGTTCAGAGCCAGCAGCCTGGCCTGGGACTTCTGAATTTCAAGGGTTGACCTCTTTGCAGGCTCTAGGCCTGGCCATCCTAAGTGGAGAGTGGGGACGGCTGTTCTTCCTGCCCTCCAGCCTGGTGCTGATTCCCCCGAACTGATCTTTCTCCTCCTGGTGTCCTCTTGCTCACCCCTCCTCACTTCTGCAGGCTCCCCAAGAGTCAGGCAGGGCCACAGGCCCATGGGACTTCACAGCATGCCAGGTAACATTCAGCCTTAGCTCTTGACCTGGCCAAAGGGAGGGAGGCCTCTCGAAAGGGTTCTTCTCTCTAGTGAGAAACAGCTGACCAGCATACCCCACCATCACTGCCATGACGGGAGGACTGCCCAGACATGTCTTCCCAGAGCAACGTGGCCAGCTTCCCCTCTCTCTCCCTTTCTGTCTCTGTCTCTCAGCCCCATTCACCCCAAAAGTGCAGACTGGTGAGCTCAGTGACCGATTGTTGTTATTTCAACCAAGTTCAGGCGTCATGTGTTACACAGCAGTAGATGCTCAGAGCACCTTGTCATCCCCACGTGGCAGATTCAAGTTCCTCTAGCACTTACCGAGTGCCTTCTGCATGCCGATTCAGAGCCTTCACACTCTCTTGCCCAGCAGCCCAGGGCAGTCGGTCTCCTTTGGACACGCAGCCTACCCTCGTGGGCAGGGTCGTTTCACACTGCCGCTCATCTCCTGGGATGTGTTTTCAGAGTGTGTCCTTGCAGGCATCCCCATGGGAAGCAGGTTTGAATGGGGGGTGCACAGGGAGGTACCTGGGGAGACAGGTTGAAGCGTCCGCTCCTAGGGAGCTTTGCTTTATCGTCAAGTGTCCTTGGTTTGGGTGAAGGGACAGGATTTCAAAGCAGCCTTTCCCTCCGTCCTGCTCCCTGCCTCTCAGATGAAGATGGCCTGCCAACTGCTGGCCTCTGTAGGTGACCGTCCCAGGGACAGCCGCACCCCATATGGAGCAGAGAGGCTGGAGGCTGGCGGGCCTGTGAGTACCGTGCCACCGAAACATGTTACTGGTGTCCAGATGTCTCTCTCCCCACACATCCTGGAGCTGTTTGAGGGCAGGGCCGTATCAGAGTTGCCTGTGCACTCTCACACCCAGCGCTGTGCCCTGGGGACCTCGCCAGCACCCAGAACCTTTTGTTGGAGAAGCTGGCGGTCATGGTGATGGGAGGTGGAGAGTGTAGTCTGACTCTGGGCCGTGCTTGAGTCCTCACGTCCATGTGCGCTGTGGCCACCTTAGCACAGAAGCACACCCTGCAATTCTAAGTGGGAAAACTTGCGTGTTCTGAGTCATGCTGAGGGCTGCAGGGTTCGAGGGAGGAGGCTCCTTCCCACAAAGGCAGGGGTGCCCTGCAGTGGCCAACTCCTGGCCTCCAGGTGTCCGGCCACCCTGCCTCCCCCTCCTCCCTGGCTTTCCGTCAGTTTCCCATCTGCTCCCGCAGACTCATCTGCTGGGGACAGCCAGTTCAATCGAAAGAAAAGAAAGGCAGATGCTGTAGGTGACATTTTTTTGGCAGTCTCCAGAGAAAACGGGAATCTGGACTCAGGAGAAACGCTGTGTGCAATGGAAGACGCTGGTGCCCACTCACCTGGGTCAGGACTCAGGGAAGCTTGAGGGCCTCCCACGAGACAGCGTGCACTCAGGGGCATGGTGGGGGCTGCGTTGGGACCAGTCTTTCCCCAGGGGCTCAAGGAGGGCATGTCCATATTTTCATATTAGTTTAACTAACTTCATGCTGGCCATTGGCAAAGATAAACCAAAAAAAAAAAATCGAAGATATTGTCAGTGGGGAAGGGAGCTTTCCAGATGAATCAGAATCCATTAATTTTCCCCCATACCTTTGGTGGCTGAATATTCATGTGACACGTGCTTGATAGTGGGGATGAAAATCTGTCCCCACCACACTCGCGTGCCAAGGTGATGTGGCAGGAGTGGTGTCTTCGTCTCCCAGCACAGCCGGTCTCCCTAAGGAGCCCCCGGACTGACTGCAGATCCCGCCCGTGGCATCAATGCCAACCAGCCCATGAGGGAGAAGTTCAGCCTCTCCAACTTGACTCCCTCCCTCTGCTCCTCTGTGTGAAGGTGCCTGTGCCTGCAGGGCTGGGGGAGGTTGGCTTAGGGACCCCACCTGTTCTGGATGAAGCCTGAAGATCCACAGGCCTCTGGGGAGACCCTGGGCAGGGTCCACACCTGACCGCTTTCCTGCATCTCTGCAGGGAGCTGAGGCACGGAGAGCTGCGCTGAGCATCTCCTACCCACTGGCTGCTGTGTTCAGTTTCACGGTTTCACTCTCGGGGCCTCTGTGTCTGCGAGGGAGCTCGGTTAGCAGCTGTACAGGCCTAGGGCTCCCCGCCTGCCTTGCCGCTCCCACAGCAGTGAGCACTCGGTACTGACGCTGGAATGGCAAGCCCTGACACAGAGCCATGTTTCTGGCGGTTATTTGAACCCCAGGGGTTTATTGTAGCAGATGCATTCCGGAAACCACACCTGGAATGGGATGTGAAGCTTCAACACTGCTCCAGGCCTGACGGGCCCGGGCTATGAGGTTGCACCACGGCCACAAGCGCAGCTTTTGGGTGGTGGAGAAGGTGCACTGAGACCAATGCTGTGCTTTAATGGCTCCGGGCACTACCTGGCATAGGGCACCCTCAGCCTGCCGTCACCTACAGCTCGGGAGGCTGGGCGACAGTTCCAGAACAACCACAGGAGTGGTCGCTGCCTGGTGCTCCTCCCAGGGGCAGGAGACCCCTCTCCTGGGCCAACCTCAGGCACCACATGGCCTTCGCTCCTCCTGGGAGTGACTGGCTGGGAGCGGCTTTGGTGCTAACAAGGCCCAGAGTTGCAGAGCACAAGGTTCTCTAGAAATCCCTCTCCCATGTCATGGACTGGGAAACCGAGGCAGGGAAGAGGGAACAGAGGCAGAGCCCCGTGGCTGACCATTTGCTCTGCAAATTCTGAATGCCCAGCAGTGTGATTTTTAAAGCTTTATTGAGGTATAATTTACATGCCATAAAATTCCCCCACCGTGAGCAAGCATACAATTGCATGTTTTTTGGTAAACTTACAGATTTGTGAAGCCATTGCCACACTCCAGTTTTAGAACCTTTTCATCACCTCAAAATCCTCTCGAGTCTGCTTGCTCTCAGCCCCCAATTCTACCCTCAGCCCCAGGCACGCTGGCGTGCGCTCTGTCTCTCCCAGTGGCACTTTTCGTGGACGAGAGGTGAATATCCAAACCTCATCAGGTACCAGGCAAGCATTATGGGCATTTGACCCGCGAGCGCTGGCACCCATGCTCAGAAGGGCTCCATGCTCGGGGTTCAGAGCTCTGCAGTCCTGCCCCTGCAACCTATGGTCACTTTTTCTTTAGTCTATGTTTTGTAAGCACAATCCAATGAGGCCGAACCACATGTTCCAGGCGTGGAGCCTGGGTCCACACACAGTCCTACCTCCCACCTCTTCCCACTGATGTCCTTGGTCCATGCTCCGGACCCCACCCTCTCCTCCCAGGGCCACTGCCCACCTCTCCCAAAGCAGTGACCGAGTCTTGTTAGCAGGGGGTGGCCTGCCTTCCTGAGTCACTCTCCATCCTGGTGGCAGCCTGGGCCCCCTGTGGTGAGGGTCACGGTCAGGTCTGGCATCACGCAGCATCTTGAGTGGAACCAGGAGACAACTGTCTCCCATCCTGGGCTGGACGGTGGCTCGGCAAAGTCAGTCCCTCACACATCCTCGATCCAGGTCCCGCACGTGCCCCGGCTCTGAGGTTTAGCCTGTTGGCTGATGGGGGGAAAGGTGTATGGGGCCTTTGTCGACAGCACATATGCCGGGCTGTGGAGTGGGGCCCAGGGTGCCTGCGAGTGTCTGCACTCCCCAAGCATCGCGCACCACCAAAGGAGCAAGACATTCAACATCAAATAACCCTGTGGCTACTGGCCACCCCCATCTTCACCCTCCCTTTACCTCCCTTTATCCTGCACATCTCAGAGGACAGCTCACTGCACCAGAGCACTTTCGGGACTATGAGGCCGCTCCCATGGCCTTCCTGGCCTCAAGGTCTCCCTGACATCTCTTGACTCTGGGCTCCATCCACCCAGCCAAGTGTTGTTGTTGCTTGTCCCAAACACAAGGTCATTCATGAGAAGATATGTCTTGTGAGTGCTGAGACCTTCACGTGCCCAGCTAGGAAAAGAGAAGAGCAGGCATGAGGAGAGCCTTGTCTTCAGAGCTGAGACCTTCACGTGCCCAGCCAGGAACAAAGAAGAGCAGGCCTGAGGAGAGCCTCATCTTCTCCTTATCGCACCAGGAAATCTTTGAATTCAGATTTCTAATATCAGATGACAATGAATCCAGGTTCATGTTTAAAACAAATATCTCTTACTATGGGCCGTTTTCATGAACTTGGGGCTTGGAAAGGCTGCAGACACTGTTGGCAGGCAAAGACCATGAAGAAGGTGAGTGGGTGAGGGCCAGGCCGAGGCTCCCAACACAGCCTGTGGGCAGACGGACGTAAAGCTAGGAAGCCTCCAGTTTATGTAGCGGAAAGTACATATCCATCCCTCCCCCAAACACAATAAGCTGACATCCATTTCCTAAGGGCTGCTGAGTTCTGCCAAGCAGCAAATAAATCACCCACAACACCAGCGACGGGACAGGGAAGGAATCTGAAACCGCAGGTGCAGTGGCCTTGGTGCCAGGAGACATCGCTGTCTGCCGCGGGCAGGGGACTCCATGCCATGAACACCCCTGCCAGCTGGGGCTGGGCTCTGCAGAGGTCTTGCCCAGGTAGGGGCCCTTGCATAGCCCCTCGGAGCTGCCCCGCCAGAGTGAGGCACAGAGGCAGGGGCAGAGTGCAGGGTCTCGGTTGACACCTGCCATCATCAGGGTTTGGACAGACAGCATGCCGGGTCATCGCCAGGCCGGCCAGAAGATGCATTTGATTACTGGTCACCGCAACACTGTCCATGTCACTCCAAGAGACCCAGTCAACGGTGGAGGGTGAGCATGGTAAATGGCCTTTTGCAATCACTTGCTCCGGCCATCTCAGACACAAAACCCAGAGTCAGCATCTTCCCATGACACCCTGGCCCTGGCATTCGCAGTGAGGCAGCAGATGTTACAATCCAGTTAGAGATGGCCTTGGTGGTCTCACTCAATTCAGGTCCCGCCCAAAGATAGCCTGGAGCAGAACTGCCCCCTCCAGGAAGGGAGCTGAGCCATCGGCCTCTGAGGGACTGAGAGCAGGGGGCCAGGGCTCCCTGCCACCTGGGCTTCCTGGGTCATATCGCTGGGTCCCTCAGGGTCACAGCAGCAGAGGTAGGATGACAAAAACCCCTCTGCAGCTGCCTTCAGACAGAGGCCAGAGCTCAGAGCTCACCACCCCTGCCCCCACACCCATCCAGGAGTCTCAGGTGGAAGCTGTTCTCTCTCACTTGACAGGTGTTGGGAGGCTCAGATTCCCCTGCAGGTGGAAAAGTGCTTTTTCAGTCTCCAGCCCCACCTGTGAGCACTGACCTCATCAGCATTTCCCGGTGCTATAAATAGACCTGAAACACAATGAAGGGATCCAGTTTAGCGAAAACGGCCGTGGACCTTATGTCACCTGAAAAATGCTTTGGTAGGGCAAATGCTGTTCTGAACTCTGTCCACTTTATAAGTGTGGACGCCGCCATGACCCTCTCCTAGAGCGCACATTTGAAGAGTGGGTCCAGAAAAATAGATCCAGATTGCCTGCTGGATCTAAATTTTAGACACATTTTGACTGGCTGAGCATTATTTTTTAGAGTGTAGATAGTACATATTTAATAATCTAGAAATCCTGGTTTCTCTTGATAAACAAGAAGGTCTGGCCACAAAGGGCTCAGTGTTCCCCAGGACAATAAGCTGGGTTCACACGACTCTTAGGTGCTCTTTGGGTGGGGACTGTGTACTGCTAGTCCCTGCCGACTGGGCCACATCCAGTTGTTGACACCAATTGGCCATACCATTTTCGTCAACATCCCCTGAGAAGTGGTTGTGAGCCTGCAGGACTTAGTTAACTGCAGGTGTAAAATGGGACATGAACTCCTGGAACTACCTTTTTCATAAAAATATATTATTAAGATATAAGTTTTCACAGTTTCTAAAAACAGCTGATCTTTTGTGGCTGTAAAGTAGGACCCACACAACTACATATGACTTCATGTTATTGATTAAATCTATGAGAGATTGATCACAAACATTCAACTGCATTAATCTATATTAGAAATTTGAGAACTACGCCCTCCCCAAGCAGTTTTCAGAACCTGGCTGCCCCCATACCAAAGGGCCCAGATCATAATGTCTGCAGTGAGGGGCTTGGCCAACTGGTGTCAACAATTGGATGTGGCCCAGTCAGCAGGGACTGGCAGTACACAGTCCCCACCCAAAGAGCCGTGTGAACCCAGCTTATTGTCCTGGGGAACATTGAACCTAATGTGGCCAGCTCTTCTGGTTTATCAAGAGAAACCAGGATTTCTAGATTATTGAATGTATTAAATCAATCTGAACTCTAAAAAATAATGCTCAGTCAGTCAAAATGTGTCTAAAATTTAGTTCCAGCAGGCAATCTGCCTGTCTGTGACTCTATAGAAATCATACAACCAAGACCCCTAGGCTTCCTGCTGCATCCTGCACCCTGGTCCCCTGAGGGAGCTTCATGCTGACTGTCCCCTCCTCTCTTACTCTGTGGCTTATTCCCCTGTACACTTTCCAGAACCCCATGAACCTGCACGGATCAGACAATCTCCAGATTGTCTTCTCCAGATGGTCAGGAGGGACAGAAGGATCAAACCATCCCTGACTGCTGGGGAATTCACAGGCTGCCTCCAGAAACAACGATACCTGGGTCTTCTAGAAGTAGTCAAGAGAATGTCATTTCACAAATGCAGGGTAAACCAAAAATACTGCTTTGTTAGTGTAATTGGTAGGAGTGAGAGAGCAACATTTTTCCTATTGAATAATGTCATTTGCAGGGCTCAAGGAAATCACAGTCAGAGTGTGAGCCCTGCAGTTGGACTGTCTGAGTTTAAAGCTCCTCCATGAAGCTTACTAGTTATATGAACAAATCTGTGTCTCAAGTTTATTTACCAGTAAAATGGAGACAATATTAATATTTATCATATCATTGTTAGGAGGACAAATTGGCACATGTCAAGTTTTTAGAACACTGTCAATGAAACCCTCAATCAAGTTTGTTTACCATAATCATTATTGTTATTTCTAGACACCACTCCTCCTTTGCAAGTCCCCAGGAGTACCCAGGGACAACAGCAAAGGAACATTTCATTTGCTGGGTTCTGGTTTCATCTGCCCAGCTGCAGGGCATACTGGTGAAAGGACTTGTGCCAACCTAGCATCCTGGCTCATACCACATCTCAAACTGGGTCATGACATCTTACCCCATCTCACAGGGAAAGTGAGGGGCAGGTAATCAAAGGGAGACGAGTGTCCCAGAGCCCACCAAAAGAAAGCCTGGAGAGGTAGCCCTGAGTATCCCCCTCCCACTGCAGAAAACAGTGACCCCATGGTCCCACTGCACAGACCCAGGAATGGGTCTTTTTCCCCCAAAATGTCCTCTGCACAGTTCCATGCTACTGTCCTGGTCCAGACTGACAATGCAGGGAGGGGACAGGAGACAGTTGGCAGCTAAGGAGGGAGCACCACCAGCCTCAGGTGCACGGAGCTGAAAACCTGCCCACCAGAACCACCCAGTCAGTCACCAAGCCCCTCAAGCCACATTTTCCAGCCCTGAGCATTGGAGTGGTCATGTGACTCATTCTAGCCATTGGAGTATGAGCAGAGGTCATGACCACCATACCAAGCCTGGCCCATAGTCACCTCTCTCTCCACCAAAGCATCTCTTCTCCATCCTCCCTCCTCCTTTCCTCCCTCCTCCTCTCCTCCTTCCACTGCTGGCTGGATGTCCATGCTCAGGGAGACCTCGGAAGCCAGGGGTTCAAGACGGCAGCATCTACATCTGTGCCTGGAGCTCGGCCACCACTGACTGGACTTCATGGGAGCAAGAATCACATCTCATTGCGTTGAGCGGTTGAGGTTTCTAGGTTTATCTATCACAGCAGCTTGCATCCCACTGTCTGGTAGAGCAGGGCTGCCTCTGTCCTGCAGGTACATCCCCAACTGCCCCAACCTTGTGTGGAGTTGGCTTAATATCCCAGTGCTGAGCCCAGTGGTGAAGGGTGTGGACTTCAGGGTTGGACTGGCTGCATCCAACCCCACTCTGCCACTGCTACTCTGTGCCTTAGTTTTCCTGTCTGTAAAATGAGGATCAGAGTATTTCCTCCTTGCATAACAGTCATTGGAAGGATGAAATGAGTTAAACCCTGCAATGTGTTTACGGCTGTGTGGGGCCAGTAGTAAGTGCTAGGCAGGGCCTTCCTGACAGCATATTTCATTTGTAGAGACGAGAAGCCTCCGCACCAGCCATAGCTGTCACCATGACACAGTCTCGGTTCTTTATGTTTCCCATTAGTAATTTCCCTCACTCAAAGCCCATTTGCTCAACTTAACAGGAAGTGTCCACTGAGCTGGGAGGTCATTGCTGGCCCAGCCCTGCCAGGCTACAGCGTGGGCTCCACCCCTGCCAAGACTCCTACCTTTAAGTTCAGATATTGATCAAAGATGTAGCCTCTGCATTGAGGCAGCTGCCAGCTCCAGCCCGAGCCACAGGCTCATCAGACAAGAGGATCCCTACCCTACTGGTGAGGTCCTTTAGGGCCCTTAGACACCTTTTCTATCAAGACATCAAGCCAGAGTTATCACAGGCGATCAGAGAAGATGAAAAACTATTAAACATGGAGCAAAGGAGGCTGGAGTCTCAACTTGCCTCCCAGGGCTATAGGGACAGTGGTTTCTAGCAGGCATCAGAGCTTCCCTTTGTAACAGGTGTTTCCTCGCCCTAAGCGTGAATGGCTGACAGGAGCCATCCACGCTTTCAGGTTAAAGTCAAGGACACATCTCCCGATGGATGCTCCATACAGCCCTGACCCGGGAGTCTGGCAGACTGTGTTTGCATTAATGCCTCTTCCAGGACCCCCGGGACAGGAAGAGGCGCTGGCATGGAAGGAGGGCATGACTGTCACAGAGTCTCCAACGGGGAAGTCCTTGCAGGAATTTAAAATGAGGGCCTTGCCTGGAGAAGGGGCCAGGCTGAAAGCAAGACTTGGAGTCCTCAAAGGAACAATGATGCCTGAAGCTCCAAGTGTAGGCTTGTTTGCTGTGGGCATCCGAAGGCTCCTGCAGCAGAGCTGGGCTGTGACCCCAGGGCTGAGCCAGGATGCTGTCACAGGTGGGATGGTGTCGAGGGGGGACAGGGCTAAGACTCTGTCCCTAAGGCTTGCACATGAATGGCCCGATGGTGTTGAAGGTTGGCTAGCCGATGCAGACCTTGGCTTTCTTGTCCAGCCTAAGTAATCAGTGTTAGTTTCCTGGGGCCAGTATAGATAAGTACCACAAACCAGGGAGTCTTTAAAACAGTAGAAATGGATTTATTTACAGTTCTGGGGGACACAAGGCAGAAATGAAGGTATCTCCAACGTTAGTTCTTCCAGAAGCTCTGGGGGACCTGTGCCATGCCTCTCTCTCTGGCTCCTGGTGGCTGCTGATATTCCCTGGTTTGTGGACACATTGCCCCGGTCTCTGCCCCCATGTCACATCTGTGTCTGTGTCCCTCTTGTCCTTATGAGGACACTGGTTATTAGATTCAGGACCCACCTGAAATCTAGGAGGACTCGATCTCAAGATCCTTAACTAATTACATCTGCAAAGACCCTGTTTCCAAATAAGGTCACATTCTGAGGTGCTAGGAGGACATGATTTTGGGATCTAGGAGGTGAACAGAGTACTGTTCACCTCGCTAGTGACTTGGGGTCCTCAGGAGAGATTCTAGGCTGCTGCAGAAGTTTGGCACAATGAAGGTGCTGGCTTTGGAAGATTAGTTCTGTCGTAGTGGGGAGCCAAGGTTGGGATGGATGGGTCACCCGTGGAACTGGAAGCAGGGAGAGAAGAGGAGGCTGGGTGTGAGGTGCCAGAGACTGACCCAACATAGAAGCAGAGGGAAGGGGGAGGAGGAAACCTCCCAGAGGGCAGGAGGCTGTGCCTGGGACCCTTGGAACACCAGAGCCAAGACCAGTGAGTCTTGGGTTTTGGGTGTGCCACGCACAGAACCGGATGGGAAAACGGGGAAAGTTGGAAGCCAGCGTGAGCTCTGATGTGGGTGAGAAAAGAAGGGAAAGGTGACAGAACAAGGAACAGAGGGTGAGACCTGCGTTCTGGGTCCAGAGCTGATATTCCTACTATTTCAGTTTTCTCAGCTGTTCATGAAGGGAGTCGTCCCCGTTCCTTCTACCTCCATCTCCCAAGAAGCACCTGAATGCTGTCATCCAGCTGCCCTGAAAAGAGAGGACCCCTCTTCGGAAGCTCCCAGCCCAAGAAAAGAGACTGGGTTTCCTGCATGAGCAGAAGGGAAAACCTGCTTTTGGAAGAGCTGTTGGACCCGTCAGCCACATGACTCTGAAGCCGTGTTGCCCTTTGGAGGCAGCGGGAAGGACGTGACACGGAGGCTCCCTGGAACGTGTGTAGGTGCAGAGCCACACCAGCTTCTCTGACAGCACGCTAAAACTGTGCAGAACAGACTCATCTGTCTCATTTCTTGACCCAAAACCACAAAGCCCATCTTGAAATAGACACTGTGTGAATAAAGCCAGAAAGTCGAATTCCCAGGAGAGTGTGCATTTCCTTGAGCCGCCGTCACGGGGCAGCACGGAAAACCCGTTGCTGCTCCATAAACAGCACGTGGCTCCCATTACCCTTTGATTCCTACACAAAAAGATTATGAGAAAGCGCTGGTATGTGGGAAATGGCAGCTTTCTAGATCTCGAACATTAGCCTTGTTAATTTTTCAGAAATGCACGGGGGGCTGTGACAATGGGGAAGCGACCGCAGATATGCTTTACTGCAGCTCAGCTCTTCCCCAGTTTTAAATGCCACCAGAGCCTCAGCCTTCATGTTTATCGCAGACCACGGCTCTTTCATCATAGGAGGGCATTTTTCTTTATTGCACTGTGGTTGACACGTTTGCGTGCAGCTTGATTTAAATGTCCTAGTAAAATCCTAAAAGATGAGACAAAAAATCAGGGCAGGCAGCCGAGGTGAGGCCCCTGGTATCAGCTGGGTTATAGTTCCATGGTTTTAAGGGGGCCCTGGATCCATTTCCCTTCAGTCCAGCCTTCCCTGAGCTGGAATGCTCAGCGACATGAATTGGCCACAGTAGCAGAGGTGGCAGGGGTGCCTGCTGACTTCCCCAGGAGCCGGCAGACAGCCCAGAGGCCCCACGCCTGCCGCTGCCCCATCCCATCATGACCTTCCTGTTATTCTTATGCCTTCAGAGTTTGGAAAGAATAAAATTGCTGTGAGATTCACTTACATAAGAGACAATACCCTGTCAGTCCTTGGTTCTAGCAGGGAGAACGAGACACCCAGGGCACAAAGGAAAGACGGTGAATCACAGAGCCACCACCCGAGGCCAGTGGGACCAGGCGCCCACCCAGGGAGGGATCCCGCGGGGTCAGGACCGCCAGCGAGCAGTGGGCTGCAGCCCAGAGTCCGGCTCAAGCCTTCCTTGCTGAGTGACGTGGGGTCTCATTTCTTCTCAAGAGAATTCAGTTCCTCTCCTCTGTTACCACGTTTTCCATTTCATTGTCTTTCCATCTGACTTTCTGGAAGATTTCGTCAACTTTCTCCACCAAGACTTCTACCGCAGCTGGCTGTTGTTCTGTCTCAGTCTTGGCAAGCGCATCTTTCCAGGGGCTGTTCTTGCTCTCACCTGCGTCCTCGCACGGCACCCTGTTCTGGGTCCGGGAAGGCTCCACCCTCCTGTTCCACAGAGGATGGGAATTCTGGCTTTTTAAGGGTTTTCTTCCTGCTCCGTGTGTTGTGTTCATTTCCTGCAGGGTCAGCTATGTATTTTTCTGCCTCTCTTTCCTTTCTGTAGTGGATTTTCTCAAATACAGGCATGGACAACCCGGGATCACCGGGTATTTTGAAGAATGAAGCAAAGGAAATGCCAGTTGGGGCACAGAGGGGACTGGTGAATGCCAGAAAGAGGACCTCGGGGACACCTTTGCTCGGGGACATCAACAGCCATACATACGGGCTGCTTGGGGGTCTCCCTGTTCATTCCATAAATATCAATCTGCAGGCACAGCATCCTCAACGACGCATTTAATTTCTTTATGGAATAGCTGCCCCCTTCTTGTCTGGCTGGGGGAGATCAAAGTCTGACTGGTGGGAGTTCTGTGTCCCTGGGCAAGGGCAGGTTGGGGATGGAGACAAGTCTATGAGGAGCCGGGCTCAGCCCCCTCCCCAGCCCACGCTGCCCTGCCTGAGGCCACGCCTGCTTGCTGGGGGCTCCACATTGATTCCCTTTTGCTGTCTTGATGCCATGCGAGGTGAGGAGAGAAGCCTGGTGCCCCTAGCCCGGCTGCCTTCGTCAGCTTCCTCCTGGTCTCAGCTGTGCATCCAGAAGTCCTAGGGAGCGTTTTTGGTTCTCATTCAGGCCAGAGGAACTTCCGCCTGCACTCGGGAGAGGTGGGAGCAAACGGGAAGCATGCACTGGGTGGAAGAAGGTGGGTACGCCCGCCCACCCCGGCCCACCCTGGCCTGAGTCTCCTCTTGGGAGCTGAGACCCCCCCGCCCCATCCAGGGTCTGTGCCACCCCAGTGGGTGGGTGCTCTTCAAGCATTGCTAGGACTGAGGTTCAAATCCAAGCTAGGGTCCTGAGAGCATGGAACCCGGGGAATGCCAAGGCATCTCTGGGCCTCAGTTTCCTGAGTTTAAGTTGAGGTTGAGGACAGCAGTGAGAGGATGATGTGCTTGGAGGCCTTTCTGGGGTGTCCAGCTCTGAGCGAATACTTACTGAACAAATGAATGAGGGAGTAGCTCCTGTCGTGCTGCTGAGCTGGCCCAGGGTGAGCTTGGAGCAGTCCAGGTGCTTCTGTAGGTGGTTTCCATGCACTTCTGTGGATGGGTTTACACGGATTAAGTTCAAAACCTTCAAGGCAGCTAACAGATGCCCTAGATCTGCTGGGAGCCTGGGAAAGAGGAGGCTGCCTGGGCGACAAACATGAGCTTGACAGGCTTCGTGAGCCTTGAGGGGTGCCACGCTGGAACTGGGGCTGGCCCCAGAGAGCCACCATCGGCAGGGCTCAAGCTGCCCTGGGAGGGAAGCTATGACCTCGCCACTCCCAGGAGCGGAGCCCGGGCCCAGAGGAGAGCAGGAATTGCTCCTAAGGTCCTGGTGCCATGGAGGGAAGACCTGGATTTGGACTCAAGCCCCCTGGCCCCAGGGCCCAAGCTCCTACTGACTAGACTGGACAAGCAGCCCCACTTCCGCTCCAAACCCGGTGATCTGGGGCAAGCCATGCCCCTCCCGGGCCTCAGATTCCTGGTGCAGGAACAGGCAGGTGTGGGGCTGCTCCATCCTCATGGGACTGACAGCGGGATTCAGTGATCCTGGGGTTTGGTGCAGCACTCGGCACAAAGCAGGCTGTGATGGGTCACGCCTGCTGCCTAGGGGGTGACCTGAGAAGGCCTGGACCCTGCCTGGGCCCAGGAGTGGAGGTGAAACCCAGGCAGCTCCCCAGCCTCCCGCCAGCATCCCCTCGGGGCCTGGGAACAGCACTGCGAGCCGGCCGCACCTGTGCTGGAAATCGCCCTCAGGCTGCCGAGTAATTAGTTCCACGGTTGGATGCAGGCCCGTGCTGTGACTTGAAGTCAGTCGGCGTGGAACACATTTCCCATGTCGAGGCTGGGCCTGACCACCCTTCTCACGGTAAAGGAGGAAGAAAATTGCTTCTTTGATGGCATTTGTGATAGGCTGGAAAGCGCACAGTGGAGTGAGCCAGGAGGCGCTGGCTGGGTTCCCACACTGGCCGCCGTCAGCACCCATCTTGGGAGGGAAAAAGGAGGGACCACCTCGTGTCCCCACGTCCCTGTGCTCCAACCCCAGCCCTCCAACCCCTGTGGCATGGTGCTAGAAGGTCAGGGTGGTGGGGTCTTGATGTCCCAGGGGCAAGTTATCAAACCCGGCCTTTATGGCAGGCACTGAGGTGACAGGACAGGTGGAACCCTCACAGCGGACAGATGCAGGAGGGGGTGTCTCTGTGTGCCCGAGGGCCTGCATCCCTGTGCCCAAGGGACTCATCCACAGCACATGGTGTTGGGCTGAGTCTGTGCCATCTGCCTGGGGCTGTGCAGTGGGAGGTAGCAAAGGCGGGTTCCAACCAGGTCTACCCAACCCGCCCATCCCTTCTGGGGCCCAGCCACCAGGCCCTGCCCTGGCCACACACAGCATCCATGTCAGCTGGGATCTTGGGGTGAAGACCCCCAGGAGGCAGCACCCCTGCCCCAGGCTTGCTTTCCTGGAACGGCTGAAGCTGACTCCTGTGGATGATCTCAGCAACACCCCCAGACCTCACACCAAGCAGCCTGTGTGCTGCACCCACCCTTTCTTGGAGCCCTTCTCTGAGTTCATGCCGTCTTTAGGCCAAGTGCAGACAAGAGAAAAAGCTCATCGGCCTCGCACTGGCCAGTTCTGCTCGCGGCCTTGCCTCCTGGGTCCTTCTCTCTGACCTCTTCCTGGTGGTCTGGAGGCAGCAGCTAACTCCTTGTGCCCCTCACACAACCCCTCAGACACTGCTTCTGTGGCCCCCAGATCAGCTCCACCACAGGGTCGCCCACACCCCACCCCTGTCGATGCTGGAACAACAGATGCCCTGGACCACGTGTGGCCCTGTGTACCACAGGCGGGGGGTCTGGCCAGCAGAACGTGGGCGCCCATGGACAGAATCCTCCCCTCCGCTCTGTGGCACTTCTCAGGGGACAGTCTCTCCCAGGAGGCTGAGCAACCCTTGTACTCACCGGGGCCCAGCTCCATCACCTGCCTGACTGTGGCTCCCTCCCTCCCTGCATCCCAGGCCTGCCCTCCTCTCTCAGAGTTAGCACCAAAGCCTGACGCTCAGGTTCAGCTTTCTGGAGGGCTCAGGCTTTCCCCCTTGACAGAGAGTCCAAATGCCAAGTAGCCCAGCAGAGGGGCTCTCTGGAATTAACACCAAGGCTTACAGCTTCTCCCATAGGGAAGGGAGTCCACTCTCAGCTAATTCCAACCAAGTGGTAAGGAGGAGACGCCAGTGCCTGCAAAGACCCCTGAAAGGTGGTGGGTTCTGAGGCCACACTGGTGATGGGGAAGGGGGATCACCCGGAATAGTGAGCATGCTCACGTTTGCCTTTTCTCTCCCCACAGGAGCAGGGGCTGGGGCTCAGCTGTGGCCGGACACCCACCACGTGCCCATGGGATGCTTCCAGGTCCCCTTCTAGACCAGCAGAAGCCCAGGACACCTGACCGCCACTGGACAAGCACATGGGGTGGGTGCCATGAGGCCAAGTGGGGGCCCAAGATCAGGGGGGTCCCTTGTCAAAAGCCAGGTGGACACCTTTCCAGACGTGTGTGTATGACAGGGTCGGGTCGGAGGCAATGACCATGGTAGGATCACAAGGCAGGCATGGGGGTGATAGCCACTCACCCGAGAGTGTTGTCAGAAATAATCACGGCTATTAGGACGATGTGTTAATTCAACACACAGCTTTGAGTGTCTGCTATGTGCGGGAAACCGACTGTTCTACGTGCTGGGGATAGAGCAGGGAAAAGACCTTTGTGAAGCGGCTGGAACTGTGCTGAGAGTTTCACATGCACGAATTCTCCCAGTGCCCAGATGAAGTGAGGCAGCGCTGGGTGCTGTCTTAGAGTGGACACACCAAGGCCTGGCAGGGTCCCTGTGACTGTGACGTGGCAGGACTCGGACCCCTGCCCAGATCTGCCTGTGTCCAAATCCCCTCTTCATCTCTTGGTTCTGCTGGAGATGCCTGTGGCCATCTTAGTTCTTTGGGCTGAAATGACAAAATACCAAAAACTGGGTGTGTTATTAACAACAAATATTTACTTCTCATGGTTCTGGAGGCTGGGAAGTCCAAGATCAAGCTGCCAACAGGCTGTATGTCTGCTGAGAGCTGCTTCTTGGTTCTTAGATGATGCCTTCTCCCTGTGTCCTCAAATGGTCAAGGGGCAAGGGAGATCTCTGTGGCTTCTTTTATAAGGGCACTGATCCCATTCGGGATGGATCTGCCCCCATGACTTTATCACCTTCCCAAGGCCCCACATCCTAACAGAATCACATTGGGGATTAGGCTTGAACACACGAATTTGGGGGACACAAACATTCAGGCCATTGCAGTTGCTTTTCCTAAGCCTCCAAAACATCCCTCCTCGCACTTTCTGGATGCCTGTCCTGGGTCAGGCTGGCAGAGGCTGTCGCTGGGCATCCCAAGGAGAAAAGCAAAGGGGCTGGTCATGGGGAGGGGGGTGTCCTGGGGTCAGAACAGCAGGAGGCACACATGCACAGAACAGGTGGTCTGATCTGGAAGAATACCTCAAACACTTGCCTCTCTATTCCACACCTTTCAGACAATGATCACTAACATGCCCCCTTCAGGGATAGCACCAGCTCTTACATCTAAAGGAGGTACAGTGCTCAGGTGCGAGCAGGAAGGACCTCAGTCCTCCAGTGCGGATGCTGCTGCCCCTGCTGGGCACTGGCCGAGCCAAACAGTTGGGCCATGACCCAAAGCCTCGTGGTCTGTGAGATGCCCAGTGGCAGGATGCTGCCATGCAGGGGAAACATAGGAAATAATAAGGAAAGTATATGTGCGTTGAATTGTGTCCCCCCAACAAAATAATTTCAAATCCTTATCCCTAGTACCTGTGAATGTGACCTTATTTGGAAACAGGTTCTCTAAAGATGTTATCAAGTTGAGATAAGGTCATCCTGGAGTAGGGTGGGCCATAAATCCAATAGCATGGATATTTGCATATAGAGACAAGGAGAAAACACACACAGGAAAGAAATCCATGTAAAGATAAAGGCAGAAGTTAGAGGGGTCCATCTACAAGCCAAGGAACACCAAGGGCTGCTGCCATGGTAGGAGCCATAGAGGGGAGAAAGGAATGCACCCTCACAGCCTCCAGAAGAATCCAGCCCTGCTGACACCTCAGTCTCAGACTTCTGGCCTCATGAACTGTGAGAGATACAATTTCTGTTGTTTTACGTGCTCCAATTTGTGATAAGCTGTTAGGGCAGCTCTAGAAACAAATACACATTTGCAGGGAAGTGCAAGCCGAGTGGGCCCCACTGCAGAGCATCATGGGTCAGAGACTTCTGCTTTGGTGGCTTTGCCGGCTTTGCCATTGTTGAATACAGGTAATCAATTTATCATTTGATAAAACTTTTTAACTTTGCAGTGAATCCTTTCAGTACAATAAGCTTTAAAAAGTACAAAATTAAAAATGTTGCTGTTTTTAACACAAAATTCTATGCCATTTATTTCTCAGTGATGATGAATATGTGTAAGCTGCATGAAATGTTTATTGACATGGACCATTCACTGTGGAGCCATGGTGATAATCCTGAACTTATAAAAAGTAGAAGACACAAATTTGCTGAAAATGTACCAGCATCTACTTTAAAAAGTTAGTTGTTATTCATAAAAAACTGTGACCAAAAATCATAATGTAACACATGCAGATACAGAAGGCACATTTACATATATTCTATGAAGCATGACTTTTTATTTAGATCAATTCATTCTTGTTCTAAATTAATTTTGCTCACTTCAAATTCTAAGCATCCGTGTGCACACATGAAGAATGAGGCCCTAGCTGCTCACGTGTGGGTTCCAGTAACAGAAGAAGGGCTTCACAGACCTTCTGAGAGGCCAGCTCTTCAATTACTCAACCAGCACCATGAGATGCTGTGAACAGCAAACCCACTACGTTAATTCCAATAAAGGATTCCAATTTTCAAAATTTAATTTATGGAATCAAAGCAGGGCCTTGAGAAATTTATCCTCTTGGAAGTGAAACATCGGATATTATTGTAGATGCAGTTCAGTCAAACAATTCAACATTGAGATAAAGTTAGTTGTTTTGCAGTGATAATACAAATACAAAGTTTGGTGGAGTACAGCACTATGGTAAGTTTCTTGCTAAACTAAGAAGCCTCAGGACATGTCTTAGTCCATTTTGTGCTGCTATTACAGAACATGTGGACTGGGTAATTTTTAGAGAACAGGGATTTATTTCTTATAGTTCTAGAGGCTGGGAGATCCAAGGGACCGGCATCTGTTGAGGGCCTTCTTGCTACATCATCCCTTAGTGGAAACTGAAGAGCAAAAGAGCGTATGAGAGAGAGAGAGAAGGGGAGAGGGTCAAACTCATCCTTTCATCAGGTGCCCACTCTCTTAATAAGAGCATTAATTCATTCATGAGGGCAATGCCCTTGTGATGTAACCTAGCACATGAACTTTGGGGAACACATTCAAACCACAGCAGGATGGAAACCAGGAGTTGGTTGTGGTGCAAATAGAATCCACAATTTTGTCAAACAAGGTATGATAGTCTACCAACTGAAATAGATGTCACAGCCATCAAGTTTTTGAATTATGTATATTTATATATATCATTTTATGCATGTGTAAATTTGTGTGTGTGTGTGTGTGTGTGGAGAGAGAGAGAGACAGAGAGCGAGTCAGTCCTCCATATCTTCATATCTTCGAATGTGGAACCTGCAGATATAGAGGTCTGACTATAAAGGACTTGAGTACCCTTGAATTTTGGTATCTACCAGAGACAGAGGGGCTAGAACCAATCCCCTGTGGACACTGAGGAATGTCCATATATGTATGTATGTATGCATGTATGCATTTATTTAAGGCTCTCCAAAGAAACAGAAGCAACAGTAGATAGATAGATAGATAGATAGATAGACAGACAGATAGATAGATAGGGGTGTGTGTGTGTGTGTGTATGTGTGTGTGTGTGTGTATGTGTGTGTGTGTGTGTGTAGAGAGAGAGATTTATTATGGAATTGGCTCAAGTGATTATGGAGGCTGAGAAGCATTACAATCTGTGTCTGCAAGCTGCAGACACAGGAAAGTTGTGGATTTAATTTATTTTGAGAAAGAAGTCCTGAGAACTAGGGTACTGATGTTAACATCTCCAGGGGCAGAAGAAGATTAAATGAGTTTTCCCAGATCAAGCATTGAGGCAGGAAGATAGGGGCAAATTTCTCCTTCCTCCACCTTTTGTTCTATTCAGGCTCTCGACAGATTGGATAATGCCCACCCACACTGGGGAGGGAAATCTACTTTACTGAATTCACCAACTCAAATGCTAATCCAATCTGGACACACCCTCAGACACACCCAGAAACAATGGTTAATCCGGACACCCTGTGGCCCATTCAAACTGACACTATAGACACACACACACACACACACACACACACACACACACGGAATGATTGAACTATAAATGTTTTATGGTTACACTGATGTTGTATAAATATACATATCATGGAAATAAATCTCTCCCCTTATTACCTATCATAAATTTAATTTTAGGAATATGTGAGTTCTGTAAATCAACCTAAATATCCTGCAATGCTATCAATGATATATTATAAAAAACATTTTGAAATCTTTGCTTAAAATGTTAACTAATTGGAGTGTCAAAGGACTTAAGCAAGTACAATTATTGAAAACAAAGCCATAATTGGAAGGCATTGAAACTTAACTAACTAAAAGAAAGAAAAAGACTTTAGTTTCAATCATGATGAAGTAGCTTCTATTTCTCTGATTCTCCTGCCAGTAACAATCATAAAAGCTAAAAAAATTGTTTTTCTAATTAACTAATTTAAGATACTGAGAAGAAACTGGAAGGGATATAATTATTGAAATATGGGAGAGTAAAGTGGAAATGTCAAACTCTTCGGAGGAAAAGCATGCCTTCCTCTATAATTTTTTACCCACAGACAAGAAAATCAGACTCACTGGTGATTCAGATATCAGAGTTAGCAGATAAGGTTTTAAAAATAACTATGATTAATATGTTAAGTGCCAGGGAGAGATATACAAAATGGAAGACAGAGAATTTCAACAGGGATTAAAATCTATAAAAGAAGTCAAACAGACATTCTAGAGCAGAAAAAAACACAATATCCAAAATCAGAAAGCCATTCAATGGATTTAAAAATAGCCTGGACACTGCTGAAAACAGAGTTGGTAGACTTGAAGATAAGTTAATAGAAAATATCCGAGATAAAACAGAGAAATAAAAGAAAAAAGGTAAAGAGCCAAACAGAACATGAAAGATGTGGAATAATAGTAGATGGTCTAGTGGAAGCCAGATAATAATGCAATGATATTTTTAAATAAAGGGGTGGAGGGGGGATCCTGCCAACCTAGAAATCTATATTCAGAAAAAAAATTCAAAAATGAAGGTAAAAATAACAACACTTTCAGACAAACAAAGGCAAAGAGAATGAATTGCCATCAGACCATACGTCAAGAAACAGTAAAGGAAATTCTTCAGATTGCAGGAACACAATTCTAACTGGAAATTGGAATTGCAAAAGGAACACAGAGCTGGAGAAAGATAAAATATGTGTACAAATATGAGAGATGTTAATTGTGCAAAGCAACAATAGCAACTATGTTTGCCAAGCTTGTAAAACACATGATATGGTTTGGCTGTGTCCCTACCCAAATCTCATCTTGAATTGTGGCTCCCATAATCCCCACATGCCATGGGAGGGACCCGGTGGGAGGTAATTGAATCATGGGGGCGGGTTTTCCCATGCTGTTCTCCTGACAGTGAGTAAGTCTCATGAGATCTGATGGTTTTATAAAAGGCAATTCCCCTGCACATGCTCTCTAGCCTGCCACCATGTAAGACATGCCCTTGCTCCTCCTTCACCTTCCACCATGATTGTAAGGCCTCCCCAGCCATGTGGAACTGTAAGTTCATTAAACCTCTTTTTCTTTATAAATTACCCAGTCTCGGGTATTTCTTCATAGCAGTATGAAAATGGGCTAATACAATACATAGTAGCAAAAGGACAGAAGGGAATGAATGGAATTACATTCCTGTAAGATTCTTCTTTTGTCAGATCTGGTACCAAGAAGCAGATGTTTTTTTAAAAACTGAGACTTGCAGAGATGTATTGGGGATACACCTGTGAAAGACACAGGGGAGGACAAGGGGGTTGGGTGCGTAGAATCTTCAGACCATCATGCTGGTCTGACACCTGTGAAAGAAGAGAGGAGAGGAGGAAGGACTGGACAGGAAGAGCCTCAGACTGTGGTCTCAGCCAGTTTGCAAGGGAGCCCCAGCAAAGATTGTCTGTCAAAGGAACCCTGTTGGCAGGAACAAGCTAGCATTGCACTCCTACCATGCTCCATGATTGACTGAGAACAGCCCGGGGAGGGGAACAAAGCCTTGGCATGACACTATGGTGTGTCTGCAGGTGCACAGCTAGAACCTATCCACCAGCTACTTTCCTGACAGTGGGTTCTCTGAGCACCCTGAGAACCCTCAGAGCACCACGGCCATCACACTTGTGTTACTCTGAGTGTAATAAAAGCAGTACTTCCAGGTAGATCTAGTAAATCAAGGATGCTTACTGCAATCTCTAGGCAACATCTAAAAGAAAAATACAAAAATGCACATTTAAATGTCCAACAAAATTCAATAACTACAATAGCACTTTATTAATTAAAAAAAGGAAGAGAACAAAACAGATGGGACAAATGGAAAGCAAATAGTTAGACTTTATTGGTAATTGTGTTAAATGTAAATGGAATAAAATTAAAGAAGAAATCGAACACATTAACTTGGTGAAAGCTCTAGCCATGTATGAGCTTTAATTTTCAAATTGTATGGCTTTGCTTTAGTATATCTCAATTTGTGGGAAAAATCTTTCGAGGGAGCACCTATTTTTAATTGGATAAATTTATACTCTGTACCAGAATGGAATTAAATTGAGAAGTCTTACAGTTTTGCATGATCTAAATATGGTGAGAGATTCAAAAGAACCATAAATAGACACAATTTATTTGACAAGTTTTATCCTATCTTTGCCAAAAAAAATGTACTCTGAATGGAGGCATAAAGATAGTATCTATGGAAACATTTGGCCTGAAATATTTACACACTTATATATGAGAAATAGAATTAAGATTATCCTCCACTTAGCAGAAATTCTGCTGCACTTACTTGATACCTCAGCACGGTTAGAGAGAATGTTTTCTCTAACATACGATGGGCAGCAGAGAAGAGTCCATTGAAGGTGTCTATCATTTTAAATTTATTAATGATAAAGCAAAAATTTAAAGAAGATTGTAATTTTATGAAGAGATTAAAAAGATGAGAGATAAACTATGAATTTCATGAAAAGAGAAATGGCTAAGTAGCAGATTCAAATATAGTATATGAATATATATCAAGAATAATCTGTTTGGCTATTTTTTCAGTGTTCAGATATCCAATATAAAGATTATTTTGCTTTGATGAACATGAAAATACATTATTTTTAATAGGAATGTTATTTTTGAAATTTATTTATTCACGGAGCTATTTTATGGATTCAGTAATGTAATGTAATCAATTTGCTGGTTAATAAATACATATTTCAAACATTACATATTTTTATCATTTCTACTGTCCTCTTTACGCTGAGGACTGTCCTGTTTGAACAGTGGTTACTGTGCCTTATGTCCCTGGAGACCCAGCAACCAAAGCTCCATGGGCCACTGGAATGGCAGAGGCAGATGTAGATGAGCTGACCTCATCTACATCTACACGGGCAGTGTCACCATGGCGAGGCTGCCCATCTCAGCCACAGCACCACGTCATTAGAAAAAGCAATTAGAAATGAAGTCAGGGTGACTGAGGCAGGTCTGCCCCATGCACATCGGCAGGCTGGAATAAGATCCCTTCTTGGAAAGCTCTGGTCATGATGCAGGATTGCACCCACTCCAGCCCCCAAGAGTGTTTCTGCAATTGGAAAGGCCAGTGTGGCCAGGCAGGATGACAGGGTGTCATGAAGGTTGCTGCGGTTGCAGCCAGAAAGCACCACAGTGACATATGGGATCTTGCCTGTAAGCTCTACAAGATTTACTAGATCTTGTTTCTTTATTATCAAAACCCAGCACCTCAAGGTATTTATAAAGAAGGCAAGTCAAAGGTAAAGAGATGCATTACCAAGAATCTGTGATTCCAGAGGTCAAAGTTCATCTTATCACTCACAAGTTCCTCTATTATTTGAAAAGGTTACTCACCCTACTTGGAATATCAAGCAGCAGTTGATTGGGTTTACAGCATTTTCTACCTTTACCCTTTGCAAACTGTCTGGATGCAAATGTCAAGATTGAAATGCCCAATAACTTGGATCTCTGGATCCAACAAACAAGAACGTAGTGCGATATTTTTAAATTCTGACTTGAATTAAAGTGATGGATGGGTCCTCTTAGCATGAACATGTGGTTATCCTTTCTCCCTTCACTTTCCCTTTCTAATAAATATCTCCAGCGTTGGGGAAGAGGAAAAACACCTTGATATTACCTACTGCTCCCATGAGTAGTCATTGGCTATGCTAGCTTGTATTTATTCTATATCAACAGAGCCACTGTTGTTAAAAATAGCCTGAGGAAATCAGTTAAGATCTAAGCATTCACGTGACTGAAAAGCCAAGGATCAGGCCATCGAGCTACTTTAATTTAGTTGCTGTGCTTGAATTTTCATGTTGTAAAAGTGTTATTGGTAGGTTGGTTCAGGTTCTTGAGTTTGTCACAAAAAGAATTTGAGAGCAAGTTCAAAGTAAGAGTAGGCAAAGAAGTTTATTGCAAAGCAAAGGTACACTCTGAGAGGCAGGGTGGACCTCTCAAAGGGAGAGACAGCAGCCAGTGCCTTAAGAGGAATTCCCCTTATGGGAGCTGTGTATGAATATTCATAAAACACTGGTGAGGTCAGGTGTGCAAAGGCGGACCTGCGGCTAGCGCATGTGCTCAGAATCTACATGATCTAACACGTATTCCATGCATAATTAGCATATGAAATCTCCACCTGTGGATGTGTTTGGACTACTAAAATGAAGAAAAGGTCACTATAAGCTAAACCTTGAGCCTAGCACATGAGGGACCCTGGAGAAGTCCCTGGCCACCCCCCACAAGGCAAGAATTTATAGCTAATAGCTTCTTGGGCTTTTGGTGGTGATTGGCTGGAGATTGAGGAAGCTACATCAGGAAAAAGGGGTTTTGTTCTCTTTCCTGGGCCAGGGATCAGGAACAGGTAACCATCTGGCAGGCGGCTGGTATCCTGCAAGAGCGCTTACCTTGCAAAAGAGTCAGGTGCTGATGCATGAAGGTGCAGGGAAGAGTCTTCCAGGCTTCCCACAGGGAGACCCGTCAGTATGGCCTCCTACCCTTACTCCTGCCTCATTAGTCGTGTTGGGAATTTAACCCCACAGGGTTCCTGCTGAAACCACTTGAGGCTAGATCTCTGTGTCCTCAGTGCCTAGGGACACGGACGTTGGAGGGAATACTTGATGTCCAGCACGAGGATGGCCTCAGGAGAGCAGGATTACCTCCTGGGGGTGTGCCACAGCCAGCCTCTGTGTGGTCTTTGTCCCATGGCACCAGGCCACATTTCTCTAGGGCTTCCAAGTCTTGGACAGGTCGATTTTTTTCTAAAAGAGAAAGTCATTGTTGTATTTTTGGAATTTCAACAGTTGTAGACATTAAGGACAGTGGAGTATGTAAAATTGCACCTGCAGGCCCCTGGCCCTGGAGCACAGTGTGAAAGGCAGGTCTGAGATTCAGAGACTGGGCCCCTCACCAGGCTCAATTCTCAGAGCAGCGCTTTCTCACCCCGCCCCAGATCCTGGGGGCAGCGCCACAAGGCCCAGACTGAAATTCACTTTATCTGTGAGCAGCAGGAAGCTGTGAGCCTCCGTTTCCTGGCCTGGAAAGTGAAGGAGTGGAACAGGGTGACCTCTGAAGTCCTTCCCAGGAGGCAGCGTCGTGGGAAGTCCAGGAGGTGGGGGACAGGTTCACTCAGCAGTGCCCACCCCCACTTTCTCACTTTGGGAGGCAGAACCAAGGAATCAGGGGGTCTGGCCAGGCCTCAAGTGCGCCGGATGCAGGAGAGAACAATGATAAAAGAAAAGAACATCCTGGAGAAGGGGAGAAAGAGAACGCAGAGCAAGCATCTAACAACGTGTCTCTCAAACACAGGCTCCAAAGAGCAGACCAGTGCCCTCCAGGCTGATGGCAAGACCTGAGGGTGGGATTGTGCCCCACCATCTTTGCTGCTTCTTGGCACCCAGCACCCTGCCAGCATCTTATTTTATAAACATCCCCTTACATTCTTAAGGGAGACTATTAAAACCTGAAGTTCACGGAAGTTGGACCAGGGCAGTCACAGGCTCAGGGACTGCTGGACATGAAGGGGACAGGGAAGCACCGAGCACTCTTCCTCCCGGGCATGGAGCCCTCCAGGCCCCGCTGACTCCTGCTGAAGCTCCACCAACCACCCGCAGACGGGGACTCCGAAGCTATTACCCACGACCAGCACTTGGCACACATTGTCACTGAGATGACTGACACACGGCTCAGGCAGCTCGTAGGTTCTGTTGAATGCCCACTCCCCAGGGGAGAAGGGCAGCGTTTCAGGTCATCCCCAGGCTGGCCTGCAGAGCGTGTGAGCTATGAGGCAGAATTCGAACAGACTGTGGGCCAGCAAGTGTTCACTGTTAATTCTGTGGTTTCTCTTCGGTAAGAATTCTCTACCATATAATCCCACCTAGTATCATTCTGTTTCCTCATGCATAGTAGGGGAGGATACAGTGTGGATGTTTTTTTAAAAAGCACGAGGCCCCAGGAGGCAGCCTGGACACCCACTCACACTCGCCGACTGCTCCCTTCATGGATGAAGAGGAAGCTGAGAGCCGCAGATGGAAGCTTCCTCCTCCCGTGTGCAGCGTTCTGCATACTGGAGGCAGAGGACCTGGACTGACAGCTATGAGGACCTGGACTGACAGCTATGAGGACCTGGACTGAGCAGCTATGAGCACCTGGACTGACAGCTGTGAGGACCTGGACTAAACGGCTATGAGGACCTGGACTAAACGGCTATGAGGACCTGGACTGAACAGCTATGAGCACCTGACTGAGCAGCTATGAGGACCTGGACTGAGCAGCTATGAGGACCTGGACTGAGCAGCTATGAGGACCTGGAATGAGCAGCTATGAGCACCTGGACTGAGCAGCTATGAGGACCTGGACTGAGCAGCTATGAACCTTGAGCAGGGAATGTCTCTGTGCCTCAGTTTCCTTACTTGTAAAACAAGGAAGTGGAACCAGAGCCCCCCCCATTCTTGCTCATGCACTCCCACGGTCCTGGACAATACTGAGCAATCTACAGATATCAACGTAGCATAATTTGAGCCTCCTTGTTTTTCTAAAATGGGAAGATTTTAACTGAGAAGCAGCCTTTTCAAGAATACCATAGTTACTCTATTGCATACTGGAACTCCAGCTGCATTCTATTACATCAGTATTATATAATACCTCTTTCTCTCTTAAAAAAAAATAAAAAAAGTCCTGTAAAGAGCAGAACTAAAGTATTACAGAGAACAACAAGAGGCATTTTTCACGATTAGCCACTTAATTCGAAGGATTAGGACTCAAGCATAATACCGCACAGGAAGGGAGCATTGCATAATTAAAAACTCTTTTATAAACTGCAGCATTAAAACTGCCATGGCCAGTGAGCTTGGGAGTGTTTCCATGGTGGAGTGCTATTATCGGCCTAAGATGCTTCTCAGAAATGCAATTCCAAGTTCATAAACCCAGCGAGGACCCGCACTCCCAATTCCAGGCAGTTTTTGAAGCACTGTGGAAAATCCGGTGACGTAGGATGTGCCCGTTCCCCCAGCAGGGGTGGCTGCCATGCTGTTGACAGGGATGGGTGTGGACGCAGAGAGAGCCCAGGCAGACGAGGTGGGGAGCACGGGTGAGCAATGGGGCTGCCATGGAATTAAAGCATGCGGCTCTAGGGGCCCCAGGAAGCCAGGAGGACAGAAGCCCAACCACCCGAAACAGAGGAGGAGGAGTGAGGCCATCAGGTGCTAAGGGGGTCACTGGAGCCCCTAGGACATGGCCTCTGACTGCACGCCCAGACCTTTCAGCATGCCCACATGCTCCTGCAGCCAGGGCCTCGGCAGCTTGCCTTCCCATCCCCTGCAGCAGCAGGTCCAGTCCTGCCTCGTCTCCCTCGCAAGAGGGCTCAGGGCTGCTGCGTGGAAGGAAACGAATTGTCCCTGCAACAGTCTCTCACCCAGGAAAACCCCACACAGCACACAGCTCGGGAGTTGGTCCTTGGATGTTGGGGATGAGCTTCCCTCCCAGCCCCTTCTGCCTTCCCAGGAAGCAAGCCCAGGGGCGGCATCTGGACTCCTCTCTGTCCCCCATGCTCCTGCCTGGTGCACGTGCCTTGTCTGAAAGGAGAGTCTGAGAGCAGGGACCTTGTGCTTGGCTCCACTCAGTGCCTCCTGCTTTCCCACAGGACGGGGCCTTGCTGCCTGCAGGTGCCCTCATCCACGTCGTCCACATCATCCACATTGTCCGTGTCTGGCCTGGGCTGTCTCCCAGTGCCCGAGCTGACCCTCGTGGGCTCGTATGGACTACAGGGTTAGTGACTTTAAAAAAAAAAAAAATCAAGTTAGCCTAACTCACAAGTCCAAGCAAACAAATAAGGAAACAAGGCCCCTTGCCAGGGGTCCTAATGCGGCCGGAGTCTATCCCAGCAGGTCAAGCCCCTGCACTGCTGGCATCCCATGGTGAGTGGCAGGGCCCTCAGGGACAGGGAGGGGCCAGTGCTGTTCACATCTGCCCCCACCACAGCACGCTGCGCATGCCTGGCCAGGTCTTCGTGAGAGCAGTGGGAGTCTGCAGCTGCTCCTCGGCCCACCCAGGCCCTGCAGGGTCACCGCCAACATACGCATCCTCCCATCCCTCTGCTGCCCGCTCCAGGCTGGGCTCCACTTTATCCTGACATTGCTGCCTTATACCCGCACAGTGCTGGGACAGAATGACATCATCTCTTCTCTAGACCATGCTTTTAATAAGGAGTTTCCTAGAATATCTGCACTTACATAACCATAACCCCAAAAATGGGCCTGGCCTCTTTTATTTTTCTAAATAAACTCTTTTATTGAAGTTTAACTTCCCTACAGAAAAGTGCCAAATCACCAGGGTACAGCATGCTGGATTTTCACAGCACCTGTCTCACCGCCTCCAGACAAACAGGCAGGGTGTTACTGGTACTCCTGGGCCTCCTGGGGCTGGAGCCCTCCCCAGCCTCCACCTGGCCCCTTCTCCCCACGGTACGCATCCCACTGATTTGAAGTTTGTATGAATTTGAACATTCGAAGTTTGTATGAATGTGAACATTCGAAGTTTGTATAAAGTTTGCATGAATTTGAAGATATGAAGTTTGTATGAATTTGAAGATTGGAGGTTTGTATGAACTTGAAGATTTGAAGTTTGTATGGAGATTTGAAGTTTGTATGAAGTTGGTATGAATCTGAAGATTTAAAGTTTGCATGAAGTTTGTATGAATGTGAAGATTTGAAGTTTGTATGAACTTGAAGATTTAAAGTTTGCATGAAGTTTGTATGAATGTGAAGATTTGAAGTTTGCATGAATGGAAAGATGTGGCATATATTCTCCTGGCCTGACATCTTTTACTCACCATTGCACCTGTAAGAGTCATGCCTGGGAGTGCATGCATGCTGTGAGTGCACTCATTGCTATTGCTGATTGGGACTGAATTGGATGCCACAATGCATTCATCCTGCTATTCAGGGATGTCTCATCCTTGTGCCCAGGTTTGGGTATGTGTGCATGGCTTCTGGCTTCTGGCTGGGATGGGGATCCATTGGTGGGATGGGGAGCGTGCACGCTAGGGTATAGCAATGCCCTGACTGGCCTCCAACATAGCTGTGCCACCATAGGCTCCCCCAGCAGGCAAGGGTCCGCTGCCCCACAACTGGCCAGCCCTGGCCAGCGCAGGCTGCTGTCTTTGAGCCTTTCCACCATGCTGTGGCCTTCATGTGTGTTTCTCTGACATCTGGCCAGGCTGAGCACCTCGATGTCCACTGGCCAGCTGTGTGGCCTCTTTCATCCACAGCCTGTTAGGTCTCTTGCTTATCTCCCATTCGGCTTTCTGACGTTTCCTCATTGATGTCCAGGAGTCCTTCCATACTCTGGGATGAGTCATGGGTTATGTGGATGGCAAGGACACTCTGTCCTTTAAAATTACTGTTTTATTGTTTTTCCATTTTTCCTCAATGTCGTTTGTATCTTTTTCTCTCCTTCAGCTTATACAGTATTAATTTTCTTTTGTGAATTTTTTCCTTCCTATAAACTCCTTAATCGTACATTTCTTCACTCTTCTTTTAGAGGTTATCTTAGGCTTAGAGATTTTCAAAATGTATCCTTCACTTATAAAATATGTATATTCATATAGTATATATTTACATACAAATTTATAAGATCTAGTTTTATTATGTACATTTTACATAACATACAGTAAAATTTTATGAGTTTATATAATAAAAATAAAACTCCAAAATAATTTTAATACACTGCAAGGGCCTAAGAATATTTAGATTCCATTTACTTCTATGCTACTGTTGCTACTATGCTACCGTATTTTAGTTCTACATTTATTTTAAATCTCACAGAACATGATTTTTGTTGTCCTAAACACTAAATATTCACTTAGATTGGCCCATGTAGGTTTACCTTTTTTCTCGTTATTCCTTCATTTCAAAGATTCCACCTAGGATCGTTTTCCCTCTACAAGAAGAATCCCCTTGTACTGGCCGGGCACAGTGGCTCACGCCTGTAATCCCTGCACTTTGGGAGGCCGAGGTGGGTGGATCACTTGAAGTCAGGAGTTTGAGATCAGCCTGGCCAACACTGGGAAACCCCGTCTCTAGTAAAAATACAAAAATTAGCCAGGTGTGGTGGGGCACACCTGTAATCCCAGCTACTCGAGAGGCTGAGACAGGAGAATCTCTTGTACCCAGGAGGCAGAGGTTGCAGTGAGCCGAGATCATGCCACTGCACTCCAGCCTGGGTAACAGAGTGAGACTCAGTCTCAAAAAAATAATAATTAATTAATTATAAATAAATAAATGAATAAATAAATAATCCCCTTTAGGTCTGTGTTTTAGTTGCAAATTTTCTCAGACTTTATATGAAAACATCTATTTTACCTTTAGGTTTAGAAGATATTTTCACTGGGCATAGAATTCTGAGTTGGCAATTATTTTCTTTTAGCACTTGAAATACATCATTCAATTGTCTCCTGACTTCTACTTTTTTCTGTTGAGGAAGTAGCTGTCGGGTTTATTTCTTTGTAAATAATGTATCTATCTTTCCCAGATCCAACCCCAGTTTCTTTTTTTCTCTCAATTTTTATTGTGGTAAGATACACATAACATAAAATTTTCCACAATAATCATTTTTAAGTGTACAATTCCATGGTATTAAATATATTCCGAATGTGTACAACCATCATCACCATCGTCTCCAGAAACTTTCCATTTTCCCAAACTGAAACTCTGTCCCCATTAAACACTCCCTCCCCATCCCTCTTCCCCTAGCCCCTGGCAAACCCCATTCCACTTTCTTTAATACTTTTTTCAAGTACTTTGAATACCTTTTTCAAATACTTTCATGCAGCCTTTGTCTTTTTGTGATGGGTTCGTTTCACTTAGCACAGTGTCCTCAAGATTCATCCATGTTGTAGCATGTGTTAGAATTTCCTTCCTCTTGGAGGTGGGGGGTCAGCCCCCTGCCCGGCCAGCCGCCCCGTCCGGGAGGGAGGTCGGGGGTCAGCCCCCCGCCCAGCCAGCCGCCCCATCCAGGAGGGAGGTGGGGGGTCAGCCCCCCACCTGGCCAGCCCCCCTCATCCGGGAGGGAGGTTGGGGGTCAGCCCCCACCCGGCCAGCCACCCCGTCCGGGAGGGAGGTGGGGGGGTCAGCCCCCGCCCGGCCAGCTGCCCCTTCCGGGAGGTGGGGGGCGCCTCTTCCCGGCCACCCCTACTGGGAAGTGAGAAGCCCCTCTGCCCAGCCACCACCCCATCTGGGAGGTGTACCCAACAGCTCATTGAGAATGGGCCATGATGACAATGGCGGTTTTGTGGAATAGAAAAGGGGGAAAGGTGGGGAAAAGATTGAGAAATCGGATGGTTGCTGTGTCTGTGTAGAGAGAAGTAGATATGGGAGACTTTTCGTTTCATTCTGTACTAAGAAAAATTCTTCTGCCTTGGGATCCTGTTGATCTATGACCTTACCCCCAACCCCGTGCTCTCTGAAACATGTGCTGTGTCCACTCAGGGTTAAATGGATTAAGGGCGGTGCAAGATGTGCTTTGTTAAACAGATGCTTGAAGGCAGCATGCTCGTTAATAGTCATCACCACTCCCTAATCTCAAGTACCCAGGGACACAAACACTGCGGAAGGCCGCAAGGTCGTCTGCCTAGGAAAACCAGAGACCTTTGTTCACTTGTTTATCTGCTGACCTTCCCTCTACTATTGTCCTATGACCCTGCCAAATCCCCCTCTGCGAGAAACACCCAAGAATGATCAATAAAAAAAAAAAAAAAAAAAAAAAAAAAAGAATTTCCTTCCTCTTTAAGGCTAAATAACATTGCATTTATATGTATACTACATTTTGCCTATCCACTCATCTATTGATGAATACCTGAGTTCATTCCACATTTTAGCAATTGTGAATAATATTGCTATGAAAATCAATCTTCAAATATCTTTTTGAGACTCTGCTTTCAGTTCTTTTGGGAGTATACCCATAAATAGAATTTCTGGATCATATGGTAAAAGTATTTTTAATGCTTTGAGGAATCACGGTATTGTTTTGGGTAGTGGCTGCACCATTTGACATTCCCACCGACAGTACACAAGGGTTCCAATTTCTCCACCTCTTTCAGCAAACTTATTTTCTTTTTTTTTTTTTGTAGTTGCTATCGTAATGGGTATGAGATGACCCAACTTTCCTTTAATATTTTCTTTTTGTCCTTGGTTTTCAGTAGTTTTCCTACAATATGCCTAGCTGTGGCTTTCTTTTTATTCATTCTACTTGGAGTTTGTAACTTTGCTGGTTCTGTGGCTTGATGCACGTAGTGTTTTAGAAAATGCCCAGCCAGCATATCCTCAACATTTCTATATGCTCTGTCCTATTCTCTCTTTTCCTCTCTCTCTCTCTCTCTCTGACTCCAACCGCGTATACATTAGGCTTTTATTTTTCCCATCTCCCACGTGCTTTTTATGTTCTTATACTGTACATATCATCCTTTTGCCTCTTGGTCCCTCATTTTGGCTGTTTTCTATTGACTCACCTTCTAGCTCATTAATATGCTCTTTTGTCATGTCTGATTTGCTTTTAAATCCATTTGATGACTTCTTAATTTAATTCTATTTTCCATTTGAATTTTTCAAAATTTTCAGCTCTTTATTGAAATTTTTTGTGTTGCCAGCTATTTTTAAGCATATTCATGAGCTATTCTAAAGTCCATAGTAACTTCTGTATCTGTATCTTCTTTGGATCTCTTTCTATCCTCTGTTTTTCCCCACTGGTGTTTGGTCATTTGCTGTTGTCTCTAGCATGTCTGGTAATCTTGATTGAACAGTTGATAATGTGTATAAATATTTGAGGCAAATCAAAGTTTGAGGTTTTTACTTATCTTCCTCCAAAGAGGATTTATTTTTGCTTCTGGTAACTAGTTAAGGGGAAGGGGAAGCTCACTTAGCCCCACCTGGAAGTGAGGTGTTTGGTCATTGAGAAGGCTGACTATTGACTTCAGGTGAAGACTGGAATTTCTGCTAGGCCATACTCTCTGATGGGAGTTTCATTCCATTTGCTGTCCTCCAAGCCCCATGATGTGGCTGACACTTCTCAGGCTCTCAGCTGGGGCAATTTGCTCAACTTACCAGTTGTTTGGGCCAAAGATTATGAATGTCTCCACGTAGGAAGAAGAGATAAATGTTGGACTCATTTCTCTTTGTTTTTCTTCTCTCCAGGATCCTGACCCCTGGACTATTCTTTGCCTTGGTAGTCCTCTGGTGCCTTTAAACCAATTTTTAAGATACATTTAATCTAGATTTTTAGGATTTGTTAGTGACAATGGTTAACATAGTTCACCATTATAAAAAATGGATGCCTTCCCTTAGACATTTTAATACAGGTGAGTGAGAGAAATGAACTTCATTTTTTCTTCCTTTCCTCTCAAATTAGTGGAGTCCTAGACCATGAATGGCATCTGTTGGCCACTCATAAAAAGCCCACTCTATGCAAGGTACTAGAGGTGAAGTACATGATTCATTCCTGGCCTGTTCCCTGTGGGGCGTTGGGATGATCAGGAAGAGGGGTAAATGCTTTCCAACAATTTAAAGACAGTTTTAGATGGCATCATTTTGTCCTGTTAAAAAGGAAACAATAAATCAAATTATAGTCAACAGCAAAAAAATCCAAATGGTAATCTAAGCGCTGAGCCTGGTTCCTGCCACACAGCGGGCACTCAGTTACTTATTATTGTTTTTGGCTTCTTGAAGCACCTTCCTGGTCCTCTGAAGAGGTTCATATTTTTGTCTTTGTATTTTTATCTTTGGAAGTTCTCTGAAAGGTTCTCCGAAAGGTTGGGACTTGCATTTATTTCAACCCATTCTACAGACAGCCACAGAGAGCTGAAATGTGAGCTTTAACCCAGAACAAAGACAGCGCAGAGTGCACATGTCCCAAATCCTCCTTTGCACTCCCCACTTGGAAAAGAGCCATAAGAAACCGATTTATCCAGAACCCTGAGAGTTCCACTGGACCCAGGCCTTCTTTCTTTGCTCTCCCTCTCATCTTGAAATCTAGCAATGACTACACAAAATGAAATATGCAGGAATGTTCCTTTCGCAGATATATTTCAAAGAATAATTATAGAAAAGGGAAATCTACAGATTGAAAGAGACTTTAAAAACATCCATCAATCACACTGTGTCAACCTTATTTGGATTCTGACTCAAACAAACAAAATGTAAGAAAGACAAATTGACATTTATGAGGCCATTGAAAACTTGAACACTGATGATATTTGATATTAAATGTTTTTGAAATAGTAAGGACATAACCATTATCTTGCCTAAAAACACGAGCCTTTACCTTTTAGAAATACATGCAGAAACATGTACAAAAGATATTTTATAATGCCTTGGGTTTATTTCTTAAAAAATATGAGGAAAGGGGAAGTGTGAGGGAATTTATGTATTTATTTATTTATTTTTTGAGAGAGGTTCTCTCTCTGTTGCCCAGGCTGGAGTGTAATGGCACAATCTTGGCTCACTGCACCCTCCACCTCTCGGGTTCAAATGATTCTTTTGCCTCAGCCTCCTGAGTAGCTGGGATTACAGGCACCCGCCACCTCACCCAGCTAGTTTTTGTATTTTTAATAGAGACAGGGTTTCACCATATTGGCCAGGCTGAGAGAATTTAGATGTAAAAATATGTATATTGATTTAGGACAGTACTTGAAGCTGGGTGTTAGGTACATGAAAATACACTGTAGCATTCTACATGTTCTTTATATGTTTAAAATTCTCCATAAGAAGAAGTTGAAAATATGCCGAGAATAAATAAGCATGTTGAAGACTTCTTTGAATTGACTCCTGCTTGGCCTCATTTTCTCTTTTTTCATTCCTGAAATTTCCTAAGTAAACGGTTAACTTCTGTACTAACTCTCCATGGTGAGCCGTGCATTTGCTGGTGCTGCCTCAGATCATCAAAGTCCTCATTTAATTCGTCTCTTTTCTCATTAGGAAAATGAGCCCCCCTTCTCCACGGGTTCCCCAACACCTCAGAAGTCCAGGAAGACACAGTGATGATTCATACATTTTGCCAAAGAGGGATGATTTCATGAAATCTCCAAATGATCACGATAACATCCCAGCCATTAGGGATACTAAGCCAGCCACCGAAATTGGCAGAGAAGCCCTCATCTTTGAGAGGAGTAGGAAGCAACACATATACTCTATGTCCAGAATTAGAATCCATACTGGCATGCTGTTCCTATACATCAACCCGAACCCCAGCCCCCAACCCCACTCACTGGAGGCAGAATGGTGTGGGTTCAGCCTCAGCTCAGATGCTCACTAGCCAGAAGACCAGAAAGCACCTACCTCCCTAAGCACCAACCTCTTCATCTAGAACATGAAAGTCACATCCTTCTCCTGCCTCTGTCCCCAAAGTGAGCTAAGCTCAGAAGAGCCAAGCCCAGGAAAGTATTTAGAAAATGGATCCATTGAACAGCTCTTCCATTGCAGGTCAGATTCTTCAATGAATTCTTTAATTGAACCATTTGTTAACTAATATCATGTGTTGGCTTTTGGTTTTACTATGTTTTAGTACAAATATCCAGGGACAAACTCTTCAGCTGACTACATCTGATGACTAAATTGTTCAATTGCTTCTGTAATTTTCTCTATCCTGGTGATGACATCTTGAGAGGTGAAGCCAGCTGTGCTTCTGGGTCAGGTGGGGACTTGGAGAACTTTTCTTTCTAGCTAAAGGATTGTAAATGCACCAATCAGCACTCTGTGTGTAGCTAAAGGATTGTAAATGCACCAATCAGCATTCTGTAAAAATGGACCAATCAGCATTCTGTAAAATGGACCAATCAGCACTCTGTAAAATGGACCAATCAGTGCTCTGTAAAATGGACCAATCAACAGGACATGGGCGGGGACAAATAAGGGAATAAAAGCTGGCCACTGCCAGCTTGCTGCGGGAACATGCTCAGGTCTGTTCTTTTGTCTTGATTATAAATCTTGCTGCTGCTTGCTCTTTCGGTCCGCACCACCGTTAAGAGCTGTGACACTCCCCGCGAGGGTCTGTGGTTGCGTTCTTGAAGTCAGCAGGACCAGAAACCCACGGGAAGGAACCAGTTCCGGACAAAATCTCAGGCCCAGTCAACTGTCACCTGATCCCAACTCTAGCCAGACTCAGTTTTAAGTCCCGTCGACTGCCACCTGAACCCAACTCAAGCCAGACTCATTTAAGAGGAGAGTGAGCAAAGCCACACCCCCTCCCTGTTGCCAGTCTCTTCGTGCGTGGGCAACTGGTTCTGCAACCAGTTCATATGTCAATGGGCCATTAATCGTGCTGTAAAACGGGCCGTAAAATACCCCAAATCATTTATTCCACTCCCTCTTGCCCTGTGAAAATGAGCTGGTGAGAAGAAGCGTGAAGGGGGAGGTGCTTCTATTTTGCTGGACCCTCGCTCTGCCAACCACCCGTCACCACCTCCCCACTGAAATACCCGTGGAGGAGCCTTGGGAGCCAGGACTATGGGTCAGTGCTCCGCCGCAGGGATTTCTGTCTCCCACGGTGTGGTCAGTGAGCTGGAGTGCGACCAGGTCCCCACTGGCACCTCTCTCTCTTTGGGTTGGATTCTTGGAACTGAGACCCCCTAGCCGCAGCCCCCCTCTGCTGTGCGTCTGCCACTTTCCGGGCCATGAATACATGTTCATGTCTACACCACGCTGGAACCATTTTCTGTCCCACCTCGGGACTGGGTGGCACGTGAGAGCGGCCAGGGAGAGACCGCATCTGGGAAGGCACAGCTGGCTGCAGGGAACGGCCGCCCTGGAAGAGCCCGTGGGCCCAGCAACCCAGGGTTCTAGTACCTGGTGACTGACCCTTTCTGGTAAGAGAATAGTGATGAACTTTGAAGTTATCTGGAGGTGAGTTCCGTTCTTCCTTGTGAGATGACTGAGGGGTGGGGGCTGAAATTCTGCATGGAGCTGGGGTGGTCCTTTTGGTGGAGGCCAGACACTGGCCTTTGGGCTCCGCAGGTGAGCTGCAGCGAAGGTCCTCAGTCAGCCAGATGGATGGTGCGAGGAGCCAGGGAGCCCACCTGCTATGCCTGGGAAAATGGTTTGTCTTCCAGGACAAGTCATTCTACAACCTGCACAGAGCTCCGGAGCTGCAGAGAGGGAGCTCGTTGTATCCATTCGTCTGTGTCTTTATATATTCATGAATGTGAATGGTATAGAGTCACTGCTCACCGTGGGATAAAAGGCAATTTTTAGAAAGCATCTGTTCTGTGTTCTCAACAAGACTCAGGAAACTCTGTGAAAAGAGATGGAGAGCGAGATAACTAAGTGACAGACTGGGATGAAAATGGAATTGGCTGAGGAGTAGCAGGAAGGAACACGCAGGCTGGGCGAGGCGCTGGGGACAGCAGGGAAGGGAAGTTCCACCTGAGCAAAGCTGTGAACTCAGCTTCAAGACCCCACGCTGCTGCAGAAACCTGCTGGGGATGGAGAGGACAAACCCCAGACACCGTCGTGGGATGTAGAGGGGAAGGACAAAGAACAAAATGAAAACCCCCCACGATGGCAAAGACGACGGGCAAGAACGATTGGGCGTGGCGCGCAGGAGTGGTCCCCGCGAAGACAGCGTCAGAGGGAAGGGAACACATCCCAGCCACAGCCAGGCAGGAGGGAGAAGCCTCGGAGCTGAAGCAAGCCCCGAGTCTGTTATCAGCAAAGGTCAGGCCAAGGCCCGGGGAAACCGTGAAATGTTGTGTACACACGTTGCACACTCTCAAGAAGCTTAAAAATACTGAGTATCATAATAGCGAGCAGCTATGAGGAAAAGCCACTATGAGCCTACTGCTGGCTCAGGTTCCAGTCTTCGTTTTAAACGCATGAGTGTTAAAGTTAACTTCTCTGGCCGGGTGCGGTGGCTCATGCCTGTAATCCCAGCGCTTTGGGAGGCCGAGGTGGGCGGATCACCTGAGGTCAGGAGTTTGAAACCAGCCTGGCCAACATGGTGAAACCCCGTCACTAATAAAAATACAAAAAAAAAAAAAAAATTAGCTGGGCATGGTGGCAGGCGCCTATAATAATCCCAGCTACTTGGGAGGCTGAGGCATGAGAATTGTTTGAACTTGGGAAGTGGAGTTTGCAGTGAGCTGAGATCGTGCCACTGCACTCCAGCCTGGGCAACAGAGCAAAACTCTTGTCTCAAAAAAAAAAATTAAATAAAAAATAAAGATAACGTCTCTTTAACCGTCATCCCGAGCCCCTGCCCCTTCCATCCTTCCCCGCCTGAAATGCTCTTAGTGTTGGAAACAAATAATAGATTCCATAGATTTAAAGTTGTGCTCCAGGTCCTGCTGATCAAATAGAAGATCCCTGGATATAAACCCCACACCCTTGCTGCCCCGTCCCTGCTGTACCCTACACGCCTGTGTCATTGTCACACTTGCCGAGGCCTTGGGGACACCATGTGTGAGGAACAGGCTGGATCTTCTCTCATCTTCCCTTCTTTACCCGCGATGTCCCTCTGCCTCCATTGCTGCTGCCTGGTGAGCTCCTCCTTATCCTCACAGGCCCCTGCAAGGACACCTCCTCCATGAAGCCCTGCTTGATCTCTGACTTATGCTCACTTCTGAGTCTGACTCCCAGGAGGCCCCACATACAGAAGCGTAGCTCTCACTAGCCTCCCTAGGGCCTCGCACTTGCTGTTCTCGCTTGAGTACTCAGTGTCTTCACTGAATTTGACAGGGTTTTAAGTTCCGATGTAGCGTCATTATCCTGGCGATGTAGCATCGTTATCCTGGCGCCGTAGCGTCCTTATCCTGGCGCCGTAGCATCACAGCACACCTTTCCCCGGTTCACCACCTCTGTTGCCAGCGGCCACCAGGGAGGACCCTTCAGTGCTCCAGCAGCAGCCAAAACATGTTACCGCAAATTCTTAACAAGATTCAGGAGGAACCAATGTGGTTGTCTCGCAGGCTTGACGAGCCAGTGCCTTGTTTTCCGAGTCTCCATTTCCTTATTATTCCCCTGGAATAACGCCTTCGCCGCAATCCGCAGGGAGCCACTGCTGTGCGGGAGATGGCAGCCAGTGCTTCTGAAAGGACAAAGGGAACACAGGGCTCGCTGCATGCAGCAGGGAGTGGGGACAAGGACGGCCTTGTCGTATAAAGGGAAAAGAAGTTGAAGATGCTAAAGATAGAAAAAAAAAATTAAGCTGGAGTCATGCTTCCCAAGAGAGGGACAAATTCACTGCTGGTTAGCGCTGGCTGGCCGAGGAGGCCACGCACCTGTGTGGAAGCTGCAAAGAACAATCACATAGCTCTGGTGTGGGCTTTGAAAATATCCCAGGTGTGTGAAGTCCCTCGGGTGCTGGGGGTGGCTGAGGCACGGACCGGTGTGTCTAAGCGAACACGCCCCTTCCTCACTGCCACTGCATGTGATGGCCCCAGCTGGGCCCCGCTGCCCCCAGCATGTACCACATGGGTGCTGCCCTCTGAGAGCCAGCCCTAGGGAGGCTCCCAGGGACATGCCTGGTGCAGCTCCAGCTGACCCACAGAGGCCCAGCTCTGTGCCAGCAACTCCAATGTCCCTGTAGCTCATCCACTCACTCCAGGGAGGCCAGAGACCTCTGCGTGCGACACCGAGGTGCAGTGGTGAGAATCATTGTCCAAGCACATGTGGCCAGCAAGTCACAGTAGCCTCAGCCTCAGGCTCGTTGGACACAGCTGTGCTGACGGGCAGAGGATGGGGAGGGCAGGGTCTCTGGAGATGGTCAGACCATGGTGGACACCACCCACCTGTGAATGGTCAGTTCTGACAACGGGCCATATGTGTGGCCAGGCATCTTTGAGCCCAGTATTTGGAGACACTTTTCAGGCCCCCTGGTAGCTTTCTGAGGCTCTCTGAGTGAGGGGCTACGGCCCTAGGCATCCTCACTGTCTCAGAGGGAGCTGAGGGCCCTCCGAGGGCAGCAGCATGGAGCAAAAGATCCTGGGCCAGGAGCCAGACCTGTGGCTGCCGGAGTCCCCAGTTCCAGGCACGCCTCCTCCACAGTCTGATTCTGTCTCCCTCCCTGTAAAACAAAAGGGCTGAGTTTTCAGAGTCTCCAAGACATGATGCTCCTTTCAGCTCCATCCCGGTTTTAAAATGAAAGAATCAGGTCTCACCCAGCCTTGTAGGCAGGTCACGGCAGGATTTTATGGAAGCGGCGGTCCCCCGTCATTTGCCCAAAGCTCCCCAGAGCCTGGGCCTTGAACCAGCGAGGAGTAGCGGGGCAAGCAGGCACCACCTGTCCGGTCTGTGAGGCCCAGGCCTCCGGAGATCCCCCAGCCCAGTGCACCTGAGGCTGATGCGCAGTGGGACGCCCAGGCCACCAGCTCCTACAGGGTGATGCTCAGCGAGGAAGAAGAGGTCTCCGAGGATCTCCTCCTGGACCTCACTCTTACATTCACACGGATAATCCCCTTTCAGAATAAATGGGTAGCTTCAACTGCTCGTATGCTGTCATTGACTGTGTAAACCATAAAGTGTCTGAGGCAGGTCTCAGTCTACTCAGAGGTTTATTTTGCCCGGGTTAAGGATGAGACTGTGAAAAAAGGAACACAAAACTACAGGAAGAGTCTGTGATCTGTGCTTTTTCCAAAGAGGCTTTCGAGGGTTTCCATATTTTAAGAGGAAAAGGGGGCAGCGAGGGAAATTGGAGGGCATGGTCACGTGACTGAACCCTCGTGTCATACGTGAAGAGGAGCAGGTAGAGGAATGGGTGGTGCATTTCTCTGGCGTTCGGTAAATCAGCAGTTTCCGTGAGACACAGGAAGCACAGCAGAGCCACTGTGCAGATCCCGGGCCTCCTCTCCGAGCTCTCTGCTTAAGAACAAGAGGAGGCCGAGTACGGTGGCTTACGCCTGTAATCCTAGCACTTTGGGAGGTCAAGGTGGGTGGATCACAACATCAGGAGTTCAAGACCAGCCTGGCCAAGATGGTGAAACCCCGTCTCTACTAAAAATACAAAAAAATTAGCCAGGTGCGGTGGCGGGCACCTGTAATCCCAGCTACTCAGGAGGCTGAGGCAGAGAATTGCTTGAACCCGGGAGGCAGAGGTTGCAGTGAGCCGCTGCACTTCAGCCTGGTGACAGAGCAAGACTCCGTCTCAAAAAAAAAAAAAGAAAAAAAAGGGAAGGCAGTTTCTCACATGACAACATGACAGAGCTTCCATCCAGCTTTATTTTTCCTTTTGGCACGGTGAACTTGGGTCCTGAGATATGCCGTGACATACATTAAAAAGCTAAACGCATCATGACACACCTGAGCCTTCTGGATCAGCCAGAGCGGGTGTTATCTATTGTGCGGCTCCACCAGCTGCAGCACCACCCTCACGGCGCATGGTGTTCACCTTGCCGTGAGCTTCGTGGTTGCCTTTTTGCCTTTTAAGCCAACTGCCCCCTGCTCAGAGCTCCCCGAGAGCACTCGGCAGTCCTTTATTTTATTACCACCCTGCTCTTCTGCCTAATGAGGGAAGGGGAGCCTGGCTGATAAGAAGCTGACGGTCCTACCCAGCTCCCTCAAGCCCCGGCCCAGGGGACCTGCTTCTGGTCTCTGAGCCCTCACTGGTCCCACCTACTCAGTGAGCAGCAGGCAAGGAAGAGGGGCCCAGTGAGTTGGGGTTTGAACCAATCCTGCAGAGCGGGCAGTTAGGAAGTCTTCTCTCTCATCTGCTCTCTGGGGAACTTCTGAGAAGTCGCCGTGGTGGTTCTCATCTTTGGTTTCTTTGCTGGATCCAGAGAGATGCTGAGTCCAAACTACCTACAGAGAGTTACCAGGGATCATCAGACCTCACTCCCTCAGAGGGGAGGGTGAAAATGGGCAAATGTGGAGACAAAGGCCTTTGAGGATGCAGAGAGCCAGACACAAAGGGCTTCTAAGAGACCGCACTTCACGGCCAACTTTTGCTACAACTCCTCCATGTACCACTTGCACAACATCAAAGCAAAGTCAGACAGCATGGGGCACGTGGACAGAGCGGGGGCACATGGGGCAGAGTGGGGCATGTGTGGCAGTGAGGCCACTGCCCGGCCCAAGCCACAGGCTGTGTCCCAGAGGGAGGTAGACTCAGTGTTCAGCCCTGGCTGATGCCCATCCTCCCACCAGTCCTGAGTAGGGACATGCCCCCCCACGGGTGCTGCAAGGGGCAGGTGTGGGTTCAGCTACCTTTGCATCCCATTGGCCCATCCTTGATCCTTGTCTAAGCGGCAGGGACAGGATGAGAGGGCCAACAGAATAAAGCCAGGGTGAACCGCTCCCACTGCTGCAGGATGGAAGGTGCTCTTGGAAGAGACTCAGAAAGGCGTCCTCCCCTCACGCTGCCTCCAGGCTGGGTTGTCCCTGAGACCAGGGCCCCCAGGCCAGCACCCAGGCCCGGTACCCACGCCTCCCGGAGGCACTGCTGGACTTTCCGAGGAATGCCCAGAGAGGCCCCTGTATCCATTCACTTCCCTTCAGGCGCCTCTGAAACTCCCCCAGACGATCATGGACGAGAGCGGCTTTGAAAGCCAGAGCACAAGACGCAAATGGAAGGATCACCAGGACCCCAGGGCTGGTAGCTCACAGCAGCTAGGCACTCTTCTCAAATCCTGCCGTGCTTTGATAAATGCCCTGGACTTCTTCAAACACACTGCCAGGTGCAGGAATGTTCAGCCCTCCACACACCACTCTGTGCCTATCTTTGAAAAGTTATTCTTTGTTTTTGAAGTTACACATGGGGGAAAAATTACACAATCCGTAAAACAGAAAGTAGAAATCCACTAAAGCTCAACCACCTAGAAATGGCTGCGGCTGCCCTGGCTCGGGGTTCCTCCATCTATCAGATTGGAGCTGGGAGAGCAAAGTGCTTCCCACCAATTCCCACCAATGCTGGACCCACAGCAAGGTAGGGCAGGGGGCAGGCAGGTCTGGGTGCAGCGCTCACGTCAACAAACTGGGCAAGAATACTCGAGCACCCCTCTTTCTTTCCCAAGCACGTTCCTGGGCGATGGCACTTCCGGGAGAGAGGAAAGGGTTGCTTGTCCACCTAAATGCAAGTTTATCCTGTACGCATGTACACTTTACTCTGAAATCAGCTTTCTTCTGTCAACAATATGATATAGAAATAGTTCACAACAAGCAGACATGTACGTCATTGCTTTTAATTAGCATGTGATCTTTCAGTAGATTTATCAGAGCTTATATAGCCAATCTCCATTAATGAGCATTTAGAGATGTCATGTTTTTCTTTTTCCCTTTGTTTAATAAATCATTTCCTATGAACATCTTCGTGCATCCCTCGTTTAACCTTGTGCAGTTATCACCTTTACAACAAATAACGACTCAGGCAGAAGCTGGAGCCATCACACATTATGGTGCTGGTTTCGGAACTGTGTTTTTGATGGTTCTAACGTGAGCCGCTACTAAGCACACAAGAAGACTCGCCAGCACAGATTTCTTTGATCTTTAATATTTCTCAATCCAATAGCTAATGTTTAACACTCTTATTGTTATTTTGCATTTCTTTTCTGTAATTATTGGTTGTTTTTCTTTTCTTTTTGTATGCCTGTGCATAGCCTCTTGCCATTTCTTTCTATTGGGATTTTTTCCTAATTTATTTGTAAATATCCTTTGCATAATAGACCTTGTCAATCATGCGTGTGAAAAACACCTTCCCAGTTTTTAAATTTGATTTTCATCCTGGCTGTAGGCGTTTTTTTTTTCAGCTATTTTACATTTTTATGTAGTCATACTTATCAATATTTTTCAGTATGATTTCTGGAGTTGGGAACATGCTTAAAAAAAGGCCTCCTTCAGTAACTCCAAGCCTTTTCAGCATCATTGGATTCTAGAACATTTACATTTTAGTTTTTAATATTTAATTCTTTGATGGATCTGAATTTACTGAGTTTTAAAGACATGAGATTCAAACTGTGTTCTTTCTCCGTGTGCCAAGCCATTTGGCTCAAAATGTTTTTCTGAAAGATAGACTCAATCCTTGTCATGTGTCTGAAGAACCCCTTCCCCTGATGCCAGTCTGTCTGTCCGTCCAGCCTGCCCCATGAGTGCTGCGTGCAATGGCAGGAGCTTTAAGGACATTTAACTCCTGACCATGTTACTTCCTTGACTTGACGTGGCTCCTTTTTACAATTTTTCTGTTTGAAGTTTATGATTTTCATTTTTCCATTTTAAGGGAAAAGGAATCTTTGAATTTTTATAATAAGCATCATCTTATCTTGTCATTAGAATAATAGATAAGTACAGAAGTAAATAATTCAGGATACGAAGTACCCTATAACCCTCTTGCTACCCCAGGGAACCAGCCGAGGCACCATCACAGACTCCTAGGAATCCTGCAGCCCATGGACCCTGGACATTCTCTAAGGGCCCTTCCTGTTCTGCACCCATTCATGGTAGCATCTTCCTTCCTTTAAAGCCAACTCTGCTCCCCCACCCAAGACCCTCCCTGTGTCCTGGAGCCCAGGGTCTTGCGTTCCAGCCTCGTGTCTGTGTTTCTGTCTCGGGTCTGTGTTTCTGTCTTGGGTCTGTGTTTCTGTCTTGGGTCTGTGTAGAGTCTCAGAAGGTGTCCACCACCTCCCTCCTCCCTCCTCCCTGTGTGGGCGCTGCTCCCTCCCCAGAGACTGGGCCAGCCTTGGAGACTGACTCGGTCGATGGCGAGTGGTGGGAGTGGCTGGGCAGTGACTAGGCTCCGGCCCTTTCTTCCCCTGAGACAGTCGCCCCTGCCATCTCTCGCTGCTGCCTGGCGTGCCCTACTGTCCTGTGGATGGTTTCCTTTGGGGCAGGGGCACTCGACTTGTCAGTGTCTTGTGTTTGGCCCTGGCCCAGTGATCCTGCAGGAAACCAACAAAAGCCATTTCCGTCCGGGAGACTTTTCCCTCAATGCACATCAGATCACCTGGAGTCAGCATCCCCTGTGACTATATGAAACAGGGGGATAGAGCAAACATGTTTTCACTTAAGGGTTTTAATGAGATCCCAGCTCATTAGGTGTTAATCAGGGCTGTTTGAGAAGGCACCAAGCCACAGTGTGAGAAAGCCTCCTTCACAATCTGCCCTTCACACATTTTTTTTTTTCGAGACAAAATCTCACTCTGTTTTCCAGGCTAGAGTTTAATGGTGCAATCACAACTCACTGCAGCCTTGACCTCCCAGGCACAAGTGATCCTCCTGCCTCAGCCTCCAGAGTAGCTCAGACTACAGGCAGACTCCACTATGCTTGGCTAATTATTTTTAAATTTTTTTGTAGAGAGAGGGTCTCGCTACATTGCCCAGGCTGGTCTTGAACTCCTGGGCTCAAGGGATCCTCCTGCCCTCGGCCTCCCAAAGTGCTGGGATTACAGGTGTGAGCCACCACACCTGGCCCCTTAACTCTTCCATGTCATCTAGAACAGAGCTTGTGGGGCTGCAACATGCTCACATGCCCCAGGGACTGTGCTGAAATGAGAATTCTGACCCAGGAGCCATGGGGTGGGGCCTGAGGGCCTACATTTCTAACAGCCTCCCAAGTGATGCTGATGCTGCTGGTTCCTGGACCACACATGAGCAAGCTGGGATCTAGATGTGCCTTTGCCCTCACGGGCAGCAGGGGTGTGAGCCGTGCGCACTTCCCGGAGAGGGGCCTGTGGAGTCACGTTCTGGCAGCACCGTCCTAGTCTTGATGAGACTGCCACTCTCCTGCCTCCTGTCTCCCATGCTTCTCACCCCTTCGAGTCGGCTCCCTTTCTTCTCTCTTCTCTCCATCCCATTAGAACCCTTGGCTCCATTGAGAGGTGCTCTCACTAAAGGACTCCTGCTGTTGACTTGAGGGTGGCCCTGGGGCCAGGCTGACCCCTCCATCCCATGGGGCAGGGAGTCATCAGAACGTCGGTCCTGGTCCCAGCTCTAGCTCCAAGTGGGAGCAGATTCCTGCTGGGCCGCCTGCTCCACGGTCTCCCAGCCTGTGCTTGTAGGGCTCCCAGGTGGGACCCTCTTACTGATCTCTCAGGGAGCTGCAACCATCCAGGGAACCACACGCCTAGAAAGACCCCATAAAGCCTCGTGCAAATGCATAACGAATTTCAAAGTCCGGCAATTAGTGGGTTCACGACAGAAGCTCCCTTCAGGTGCTAAAAGGGTAACTGTAGGCTCAGTCTGTGTCCCAGGAAGACACCCTCAGCTCAATGCCATTTAGGAGAAGAACTCTAGCCAGTCCCCTCATGACCCACCTCTTGTCAACAAAGACAGGAGCTTCTCAGCAGAGGGTGGGTCTGCACTTCCTCAGCTCCCCAAGTCCCAGGAGCTGAGCTGGGCTCAGAAGGAATGAAAGCACAGTTCCAGCTTGGCCAGGACAGGGGCTACATCTCTCAGCTCCCCTCTAAGCCCGAGAGGCCCCCTTGGAGCTCTTCTGAGGGCCTCTGAGCAGACAGCAGGGCTCATCTCTGTGGAGGTCCATGTAGGAACCTCGAGTGGAAATGGCCGTGAGGTTGTAAATAGGGCCAGAGGAGTCTGCTCAGAGCCTTCAGCTAAGCGGAGTTGGCATCCATCGCCACTTTGAACAGGAATCAAGGAATTTCTGACGTTAGGAAAAAGTGAAATGGCTTTAGAATTTGGAAACGCAGAGGCTTTTCTCAGATCTGCTGGCAGTGATACAATAATCTGGTCAGAAGTGAACTATTAACGGACATTCTCGTTAAGCAGAGAGGAATTTCCATGTCACAGTAGAGGCACCTTCTCCCTGCCCCGTGCTGCCTTGGGTTCCAAGCGTTCAATCCCTTCTGTTCCAATGGTCTAATCTTGGCTTTCATCCCTACACCACCCTGCAACTAGAACACACCCGGCTTAGGGAGGGGGTTCATAGGCACTGCCTGCAAGGAGGAACAATCGTCCTCCTGCCCCACCTGGGACAGTCCACGTGCTCCTCAGCCTCGTTTTTCCACAGAGAGAAATACTGAGCTAGACAGAGCTGTGTATGGCTCTGCTGACCAATGAGCAATGTACTTTGGTCTGCACTGAGCCTGGCCTTTCTATAAAATTAAGGGGCCAGAGTGGATGAGGTCAGGAGAGCAGAGTGAGTGCGAACGCTTCGCCTTTTGTGTTATGCCTTTGTACCTCCTTTCACGAGGACACCAACAGCAAGTTCCTGTATGACACACCTTCTCGGATGATGGCTGCAGGTCTGTCCCGTCACGGCACACACGCGGGAATCTGTAGCTGCCCCAATCCTAAAGTGTCCCGTGTTCGAGGACAGTCAGGGGCCCTTGTTATTTTCCATGTTTTGTTTCCTTGCACTCTTTTTTTTTTTTTAATCCTAGCAGCAACTTCCAAATGTGCTGCCATGAAAAGCCCTGCTCCTGCCTTTGAGCTGTGTCTAATCTACTGTGCTTCAGGAGAGCAGGTGAGCAGATGTGTGTACTTTGTGTGTGGAGCAGAAGGAGTGGGCTTCCAGGGAGGGTCTTCAGGGCTGGCCTTCCCAGTCACATGCGGAAGTGTAGTGCGTGGGGAACCCTTTGCTTTTGCATCTTGGTTCTCGGCGGTGCTCATAGGAAAAGGTACTCCAGCGTGGCCACCTGTTTCTGTCCTGTTGTTATCAGCGCCCTTGTCTAGAGTAATGACAGACATCCACGAATGTCACTTCTGGAAATGACCCTGAAAACCAGGCCAAACTCCGTCCCAAACACACAGACGCAGTCACACACACACCACTCAAAATTCCAAAATCAATGACACACCAAAATATATGTTACAATGGTTCTTTTGAGTGCATCGCCATGTTCTAGCCCCTTTTGCACTCCCAAGAAACCCCGAAAATAAGGCCCACAGGCCACCAGGGACAATTCTTTTTTTTTATTTGAGACGGAGTCTCGCTCTGTCATCCAGGCTGGAGTGCAGTGGCGTGATCTCGGCTCACTGCAAACTCCTTCTTCCGGGTTCACACCATTCTCCTGCCTCAGCCTCCTGAGCAGCTGGGACTACGGGCGCCTGCCACCACGCCTGGCTAATTTTTTGTAGTTTTAGTAGAGACGGGGTTTCACCATGTTAGCCAGGATGGTCTCGATCTCCTGACCTTGTGATCTGACCCCGTCGGCCTCCCAAAGTGCTGGGATTACAGGCGGGAGCCACCCTGCCCAGCTCACTGGGGAAACGTCTACTGGAGGAACGTCAACCTTAGCTTTGGACATCTTGGTCACGTTTGCGCCCCACGCCCTGGCTACCCATTCTCCTGCCATGTCCATCCTTGACTGTCCAAACACGAGCTCCCCATTTTCCAGCTAAGGAGATGGAGGCAGAGAAATGTTAAGAGAAAATTGCAAACAATTGTCAACAACTTTCTGAATGAATGTGAAGGACTCTGAATTGTTAAAACTGCCTGGGCCTGGCCTTGCTACATTGTCTCCAGGCCGTCCAGGGCCCGGGGCCACCGTCACTGCTGCATGCTCAGGCATATCTCAAGGGAAGGCCGGGCTGCCCAGAGCCCCTGCTGAGGCCAACACATCATCCCCACAGGCCCGGGTGACGGGTGCCTTCAGCTGCTGGAGGAGCCCTGCCATTCCCAGGAGGAGGGCGTCAGATCTGCCGCCGGCACACGCAGAGCACCCTTCCCAGGCACTGATGGCACCTGCTTTCCGAGTGCCTCTCTGAACCTGTGCCCCTGAGGGAGCCCTTTAAACACAGCCTCTCCCACACTCCCCACCCCTGTCCACGGTCCTGCACGCGCCACTCAGACTTGGCCTGAAGTCCCTTTCTCATAGGCTTTCCCTGGCCAACTTTTTTTTTTTTTTTTTTTTGAGACTGAGTCTCACTCTGTGGCCAGGCTGGAGTGCAGTGATGCAATCTCAGCTCACTGTAAGCTCCGCCTCCTGGGTTCAAGAGATTCTCCTGTCTCAGGCTCCCAAGTAGCTGGGATTACAGGTGCCTGCCACCACGCCTGGCTAATTTTTGTGTTTTTAGTAGAGATGGGGTTTCACCATATCGGCCAGGCTGGTCTCGAACTCCTGACCTTGTGATCCGTCCGCCTCAGCGTCCCAAAGGGCTGGGATTACAGGCGTGAGCCACCAGGACTGGCCCTTGGCCAATTTTTTAAACAGTCATCTCTCCCCTGCTGCCCCTTCCCAGGTTGGCTTCCTTCCTGGCACAGCCGTTCCTGGAATTCAGTATTAATCGTTCACTTGTTTCCACATTCCCACATACTTCCTCCATTTTTAAAGCGGGCATGCTGAGGCCCAGAGCATTTTAAACAGCCCGGCACGAATGCAGAGGCCTCTGATTCACCCCCATTTCCCATCCTTTTCCCCACGCTGCCTCGCTGTGAGGCAGTGCTCTGTTTGGAGACTCCTAGGCTAAACCTGGAGCACAGGCCTTCTCGTCTGACCTCACTGTTATCTCCCTCTCTCAGGCAAGAGGCTGCCCGCCCGGCCTGGACCCCCGCCACCCTGCCCCCGTGTCTCAGCAGTTCTTCTGTCTTTCTGGCCCTGCCTGAGCAGTTGATGGTGACAGGGGAAGGCCCAGTCAGGTTTGCTCCCCACTGGGACCAGTGCCCCGTCCACGAGAGCCCTTGTCTGGCCACCGGGGAGAGATGGCTGCCTTCCCTGCTGGCCATCACAACCCAGCTCCTGTGTGGAAACGTGTTCCACAAAGGCTGAGAGAGTCTTGCTGCTTATTTTCCCCTGTAGTGCCTCTGAAGTGTCATTACTCTTACACTTGTTTACACAAGGCACCTCTCTCAGACGTGCCAGTCAGGGTTGTTGAGGGGGCTCTGGCCATTTTCAGACCATGAAGGGCCCTGAAATCCAAGCTGATCCTCACCAATGAGAACTGTAAAGGCCTAAGATCGCAGCAGAAAGAGAACATTTGGCAAGCCAGTGTTAAAATTCTCAAAACAAACTTACGTATTAGTTAATGCAGCCTGTCACCATAACGACTAAACAGCACAAAAACAAACCATGAGCACACAGATTTATTACTGTGCAAGGTTTAGCTGATATCATTCCAGAGGTATATTTTCCACTTTCAGTTATAATAAAACAATCTTTTTAAACTAATTTAAAATTCAGCACGAGAGCACGATCAGGCGCACATCTCCACACACACAAGCTGAGGCCACAAGTGCATGAAGCCCGCATGTCTGCCTGCGGCTCCGTGACGTGGACCCAATGCCGTCATCCATGCACACACAGGCTCGCGGGAGGCAGAATCACAGGCACGGGCTGCGGCTCAGCCTGGCAGGCAGAAGGCTTTCAAGGAGCCCTGTCAGGGGTCAGCTCAGGTGCGTGGTGGGCTCAGGTGTGTCCGCTACACAAGCGTGTCCGCTGCACAGTCGTGTCCACTGCAGCTGGCCTCCCTCCTGGCATGGGAGGTGCTGGTTGTGGCCAACAGTCTTGGCTTTAAATCAAGTCTTAGACTGGAAGCTACCATGAGCAAACACCACCACCTTTCTGAATCTCAGCTTTGTCATCTATAAAATCAGGAAGACAATAGAATCCACATACATCTGGAGTGCCTCATGGCCCTCCAGAAAATAACAGCTCTGGAATGGTGTGAGGCAAACCTTGCACTGTAATACAGTCGTGTGCTAATGGTTGGTTTTGTGCTGTCTGAACACTGCCTTTCCTTACAACACAGACAGACAACCCCCACCATGGCAACATCCAAAGAGCTGAGTATTTACTACTCCCCAGAGGGGTGCCAATTGGGGGCTGCGCTCCCAAATCAAAACAACTTCTTCCTTTCCATTATCTGGATCAGGGGAGACATTTATTTTCTGTGAAGAGGCAGACAGGAAACACTTTAGGCTTTCTGGGCAACACAGCGTCGGTGGGACAACTCACCTCACTGATTCCAGGGCAGTGGGAAAGCAGTCACAGACAACATACAAATGGTGGGAGGACTGTGTGCCAATAAAACTTTATTTTAAAAAGTCAGCCAGATTCAGCCCCAGGTGATCCTCTGCCAACCCCTGATCTGGATCACACAATAACAACCAGAGAGGGCGCAGGGAGCACACAGAGGGAGGACTGGACGCGTGCATGTTTACATTCTCGAGGGGGGACTGGGACATGTGCATGTTTGCATTCTCGAGGGGGGACTGGGACATGCATGTTTACATTCTCGAGGGGGAACTGGGATGCGTGCATGTTTACATTCTCGAGAGGGAACTGGGACGTGTGCATGTTTACATTCTCGAGGGGGGACTGGGACATGCATGTTTACATTCTCGAGAGGGAACTGGGACGTGTGCATGTTTACATTCTCGAGGGAGGAACTGGGATGCGTGCATGTTTGCATTCTCGAGGGGGAACTGGGACACGTGCATGTTTACATTCTCGAGGGGGGACTGGGATGCATTTATGTTTGCATTCTTGAGAGAGAACTGGGACGCATGCATGTTTACATTCTCGAGGGAGGAACTGGGACATGTGCATGTTTGCATTTTTGAGGGAGGAACTGGGACGCATGCATGTTTGCATTCTCGAGGGAGGAACTGGGACGCGTGCATGTTTGCATTCTCGAGGGAGGAACTGGGACGCGTGCATGTTTGCATTCTCGAGGGAGGAACTGGGACGCGTGCATGTTTGCATTCTCGAGGGAGGAACTGGGACGCGTGCATGTTTGCATTCTCGAGGGAGGAACTGGGACGCGTGCATGTTTGCATTCTCGAGGGAGGAACTGGGACGCGTGCATGTTTGCATTCTCGAGGGAGGACTGGGATGCATTTATGTTTGCATTCTTGAGAGAGAACTGGGACGTGTGCATGTTTACATTCTTGTGGGGGGACTGAGACATGTGCATGTTTGCATTCTCGAGGCACCTAGTGCATGAGACTTGTCTTGCCTGAGGCCTGGGAGGACTACCGAGACCACCTCTGAGGAAGTGCTTCATGATGAAATGGAGATGCACACATGTCATGCACCATTAATATTAGCAGCAAAACTCGGGCTACCCCCACAGAGAGAGATTGCATATCCTAGCAGCAATGTGACAGATGATAAGCAGACAGAGATGCTGCACCCAACATCCCTTAGAGGTGATAAGGCCTCCATTTGCCACATTAAACAACTTGTCACATTGAACTGAAGACACCAAGAGGGCCGGCTTCAGGGACATGAGAACGGGCACGATCAGAACCTTCCGCAGGAGTCCAGGCAACTTTCCCAGGGCCTGCCTCTGTGCCCACTGATGCCAGGACCACACACGGGCTCTCTGCACTCCCATGGCTTCTCCCCGGTTTCTGAAGGTCCCTTGGTGACCAGCACCACTGACCAACGAGGATATCTAATCTACTAAAGCCGTGTGTTCAGGAGCCCTGCCGTCCCACTAATGTGGATATGATGCGATTGGTGACTGGCTTAAGCTTTTATGCTAGGTAAAGAGGTGGGTGAGGCCAGACATTGAGAAGGGTCAGCCCTGTCCTGGGGAGTGGAGAGGCCCAAGGGGGCCTTGGATCTCCAGAGCTGTCTCACAGCAAGCCCCAGATCTGGCTGGTGAGAAGTGGAGTCAGTGCACTCAGGGGTGTCTGCCATCCACATCGCCAGCATGGGGTCCAGGCCATGTGGGACTCGTCATCCCAGGGACATCTAAGCCCCCGTGGCTGGTCACCACCAGCTGGTGCCCGAGGTGGCTGAGCTGATGGACTCAGGATCAGAGAGCTTCATAGGCTTGTCCTGGTCTTTTTCTTCCCCTTTGTGGTATTTTTCTCATCACTAGGTAGGTACTATGCTGCATTTCCTGTTCTAAACCCTTGAGTGGGGTGTTTCCTCATCCTGACCACTGTACTAGATGCCAACCAGCCCAGGTCCCTCTTAAGGGAAACTCCAAGCTTCTGCCCACGGTTCTGTCCCTGCCCTCCTGGGATCCCAGCCCTGGCTATTAGCCTGGACCTCATCTGATCATTCACCGGCATGCTGACCTGAGCCCCATCTGATCACTGTCTGGCATGCTGACCTGGGCCCCATCTGATCACTGTCCGGCATGCTGACCTGAGCCCCATCTGATCACTGTCCGGCATGCTGACCTGGGCCCCATCTGATCACTGTCCGGCATGCTGACCTGGGCCCCATCTGATCACTGTCCGGCATGCTGACCTGAGCCCCATCTGATCACTGTCTGGCATGCTGACCTGAGCCCCATCTGATCACTGTCCGGCATGCTGACCTGGGCCCCATCTGATCACTGTCCGGCATGCTGACCTGAGCCCCATCTGATCACTGTCCGGCATGCTGACCTGAGCCCCATCTGATCACTGTCCGGCATGCTGACCTGAGCCCCATCTGATCACTGTCTGGCATGCTGATCTGGGCCCCATCTGATGACTGTCTGGCATGCTGACCTGAGCCCCATCTGATCATTGGCCAGCACGCTAACCTGGGCCCCATCTGATCATTGACTGGCACGCTGACCTGGACCTCATCTATCATTCACCAGCACACTGACCTGAACCCTAAATCCCTCGGGCCCTTGACCTCTCATCACATCCCTCCTGCCAGGACCCAGCCCAGAGAGCATCTGGCCATCTGATTTCTCTTTTACTCCTGGTTGGCTAAATGAAGCTAATGAAAAAGTCACATAAATGGCACCAAAGCAAAAGCATGATGTCCAGCCTTGCTGGCCCCTCCTAGCCCGAGGCCCCAGCCCTGTCCGCTCAGGGGTGCTCTGGCCTGCTGCAGCGAACATGAAAACATGGAACCTGCCTAAGGGGTGAAAGCTCCTTCTCTTCCCTTCCCGTCCTGTCCCGCCTCAGACCAAGCACCGGCCTCTGCCTCCTGTATCCAGGGCCTTTCTCTACCCACCCGGCATCTGCTGCCCACTGTTGGGTCTTGGCCTCCCTCCTACAGCTTCCCCCAGCCCTCAGGCACCTTCACAACCATCCAGGGCAGCTGGGCTCCTCGCAGGATGCCCACACTGCCCATCCAGGGCAGGCAAGCTGGGCCCCCCATGGGAAGAGCAGGGAGCTCCTGGCTTTGCCCTGGATCCTGGGAAGTGTTGCTACGATCATGGCCCACACAAAGCTCCATTGTTCCCCCAAACAGTAGCAATCAGAGTTCAGGCCAAGTTGGACGTGTAACAGAGGGCACCCATGCTGCAGAGATCTCCATAGATCCTTTCTCCGTTCCCCACCAAGCCACACTCTCGCTGTCCCTCCAACCCCACCAGTTCCTCCTCCCCATCCTTGATTCCCTTCAGGACTAACCCTGGGGGTTCTGCCCGGCTGGGCTCCTCCCCTGTGGCAGGAACCCCAGGCTCAGTCTAGGGGAGCTGCCCCTTCTCAGAGGTGGAGGCTTTTCTGGCACGTCACTCAGCGGATGCATCTGTGGGAAGGGCCAGTCCTTTGCCTCCGCCACCTTGAGACGTGGCCCTGGCTCCTCTGGAGATGACGATTCAATCAGAAAAAGTACTTCAGCTCCAGTAAGGTGCTGGGATCGGCTCAGGGGGCCCCATGGGTCCTCAAATCCCAGCGAGGGCATGCTCTGCAAGCTGATGACACACCCTGCACTGACCACAGTATCCGGCACATGGTATAAGTCATGAACCCTGGCCAAGGAGGCATCAAACAGCACAGAACACGGTGAGCAGTCAGTGCTTCCTTCCAGCACCTCCAGGAAGGACAGCCCAGGCCTCCAGAAACGTGTGTGCGGCCTTGAGATGGGAGAGCACTGAGGGGACCTCGGGGGAGGCCCGGCAGAGGACACAGCTGCCTGCAGGAAGGCCTTAAAGCTCAGAAGGTCACCCGAGAGGGGCTGTGACTTTCCCATAAGGGAACAAGTGTCCAGCGGGGTGGGTGATGCTGTCACCTCCCAGTCACAGCTCTCCAGGACATTCCAGAATTGACAACCAGTGCACCCTACAGTCTGTATCCAGCAGACATCAGCCCACCCCTGCCCAGGGCCATCGGCTGCCATAAATGGGGCCTCTGTCTTGAATATGTGGGTTCCTGGGTCACCCAGCATTGTGTAAGGAAGGTGTCTCTCAAGATGAGGAGTGGAGGGGGCACAGCTGCTTCTGTGGCTGGACTCTGGTCTTGCACACCAAGGCTCTGTTTCTTCATCTGCAAACAAGGACAATTTGCCCTGAGCCCCTTCCATGTTGGCTGGTGAAGCCACCGCCCAGGTCTGGTGGGAGTCCCCAGGGAGGGAGTGGTCCTTCAGCAGTGCCAGGCAGGGGTGCCCAGGGTCTGCAGGGGCAAAGGGGTGGAATTCAGAGTCCAAGAGACAGATGTGCTTGGAGGAGAGGGGGCCGTCTTCCAGGAACCTGGAGGGAAAGGAGGAGAGGCTCTGTCTGGGGACAGTGGCCGAGTGTCAGAGCCTCTTTTTGAACCTCAGAAACAGGTTGTTTAAAGAACTTCTCCCTCGAGTTCCACTCCAGAAAGTAGCAGCAGGAACACGATCCAATCAGCAGCAGCATCAAACCGCCTGTGTGAAGTCATCCATGCAGCCGCCCACACACGTCCTCTGCCTTATCTGGTATCTGATGATTTTTCTGGAGAGGAGCCATGTCAAAGCTGGGATGCCTGGCGCTCCTGGCCCAAGGATCGGGACAGTGCCCTCTCCCTTCCTCTCATCCCCACGCAGGTGCCCGTCCAGCTCGCACTGATCTGTGCGTATCCGTGCTGCAAGTGCTTGGGCCTTTGCTGGCACCTCCGTTCCTGTGGCCTCAGCCCCTTCTCCCCGTGCTTCGATTTGGGCACTTTGCCCTTCCTCTCAATTTAGCGGGGGTATCACCTCTCCTGGGAAGCCCCCCATGGCATTTCCAGTCCAGTTTCATGACTGCACCTTTGGAAATCTCTGTCCCCTGTGTTGAAATGACCCACATCCTTGTTTTCTAGATCATTTATGCCTTGAGAGTAGGAACTCAGGGGCTTCAGCTCTCTGCCACCAGCACTGAGCACACAGTGGGCATTTGATCCTGGCCATGACAGAAGAGGGAAAATCAGACCCACCTCCCAGGGAATCAGGAGCAGGTGGCCAAAATCAGAGAGATGGATGCTGGGAGGTCATCCAGACAAACAGCCTCAGTGTCAGGCAGGGCTTCCAAGGACAGATGGGTGGATTCTGCTGTGATCCCAAGAAAGAGGAGAGGGGGAGGAAGCAGAGGTCTGATGGCGTCACCTTAGAAAGGCCACGTGGGGGCAAGGGCGGGGCGGAGAGTTCCCAGGCAGAGATTGGAGGGAAGGCAAGACAGGGGTCATCCCAGCCAAGGCCAGGACACCGCTGGGGCCAGAGCTGCTTCGGATGAGGGCAAGGGAAGCCAAGGACAGTTGTGACACTTTGTGACCACCATCATTAACTTCAGGCGGTGACTCTGACAGCACAGACAGGCACAATAGCATGCTGTGCTCAGGAGGAAGAAAACACGCAGGGACCCAGGAAAAATAAGTGATTCCACTGTAACGCACTGGGAGGGAGCCTGCCAGCTTCTATGTGAAACAGTCCTCAGCACCACATCACCCAGCTGTCACAGGGCCAGGCTGTTATCACCCCGTGCAGAAGGGAAGGACATGGCGCCTGCTCTCAGAGCTGGTGAGCTGCAGGGCTGCTGTGTGGATCTGTGCCTTTGACACTGAAGCCCAAGTGCTTCTCCAGAGGAGTGGACACTGGGCCCAAGGAGGCAGCACGGATCTGCCCAGCCCCGGCTTTCTGCCATCCACCAGCACAGGAGTGTCTGTGGAGTAGTCCTGGAGCTCTGGCCATCTGACGCCTCCACGTCTAGAATATACCAGGTCATATTCAAACAGCAGGCTTCCCAGCCAGCTGGAGCAGATGGACCCACCGCTTTCTGCCTCCCCAACTTTCCCAAGGTCAAGAAACATCCCACACTGCTCCATTTCACCCCTCATGAACCTGCAGCCTAATGGGAGCATCAGCCCCAGGCAGGAGCAGGTAAGACCGAGGCTAAGACCACGGGACTCCAGGACAAAGAGAAGATACTGGAATTGGGCTCCTTCCTGGGCAAGGAAGGGCCCTACCTCAGGAGAACAGCTGGGGTCTAAGCTGGCAATGGGAAAGGGGGGCTCTGGCTGGAAGGCAGAGGGCTGAGAGCAGAGGCAGAAAAGCCACCATGCTGGTAGGGAAGGGGTGGCTCAGGAAGACAAGGATCCCTGCAGGTGGCAGGCCCAGGAGAGTGCAAGAGGACAGCAGTCACACGGCACAGGGAGGAGGCAGGACAACAGATCTCAGGGCTTTGGAGAGAGAGCCTGAGATGTCCCCGGATAACAGGACTCAAGGGTGCCTTAGGGGTGCCGTGCCCCTTGCACAGAGAAGACTGAAGACAACAAAGAGGGAGAGATCATCACTGGGGAACGGTTCTTAATAAACCATACGTAGGGCGTTGGGGCACCAGGGGAGAAGATAAAGCGTGGATGCAAGTTCGGCTGTCGGGGGTTGCAGGAAGGCAAGAAGGGATTTGAGGGACGGTCCCTGTCTGCTCAGAGAAGCAGGGAGCCAGGGCATCAGCTGAGAGTGAGGGGCAGGTGGGGTGCACAGAGAGGGAAACTGAGTCACTGTAGAGCATCCAGAGGCGCAGACAGGGTGTCCTGTGCAGCCAAGGGCTGCAGCCAGGATTGCGTTCCCTGTTCCCTGGGGGCCCAGCCAGTTGCGTTTGCATTTTCTCTGGCAGTGGGCGGCAGTCTGAAGCATGAGTCAAAAAGGGAAGCATGGGGTACTAGCAGAGAAGGAGCGTTGGGTATGGTTGGTGATATGGTTTCGATCTGTGTGTCTGCCCAAACCTCATGTAGAATTGTAATCCCCAGTGTTGGAGGTGGGGCCTGGTGGGAGGTGATTGGATCATGGGGGTGGAGTTCCCCCTGGGTGCTGTTCTCATGACAGTGAGTGAGTCCTCACAAGATCTGGCTGTTTAAAAGTGTGTGGTACCTCCCCGTCTCTCCCTTCCTCCCTCTCCGGCCATGTGAAGTGCAGGCTTCCCCTTCACCTTCCACCATGATTGAAGCTGAGAACATGCCGCCATGCTTCCTGTGCAGCCTGCAGAACCCTGAGCCAATTAAACCTCTTTCCTTATAAATTACCCAGTCTCAAGTATTCCTTAATAGCAGTGGGAGAATGGACTAATACAGGTGAGAGGGAGTGCTAGGTATGGGAGGGAAGAAGAGCATTGGATTTGGGAGGGGAGGTGGGTGTTGGGTACTAGTAGAGAAGGGAGTGTTGGGCTGGTCCTCCATTGGTAATTTCCCAAGCCCCTGCATAAGTACCCTGGGGAGGGGGCTAACTGAGGTTCATATCCCAAAGTGAGACATGGGATACGGAGGTGTGCTATGGGCAACAGGCAGGATAAAGACTGGGGGAAGGAGAGATCTTAAGAAGTGGATAGGCAAGACCTTGCAAAGCCTTCTTAGGTCCAAGCATGATTTTCCTTCGCCCTTGTTGTAGGAGCAGTACCCAGCTTCTCCTAGGGAATGGCCACTACCCTATCTGCTGGACGTGGCTCTGGATGAATCAAAGAAGTTCCTTTGACCTTGCCACATTTACCCGGAGGTGTTTTGACTCCATGGCAGATACTTTGCCCATTTGCCACAGAGCAGATGGTTACTGAGAGTTCGTAGAGCTGTTAGAAACTTATGAAAGAGCCTGATGAGCCATAAAGTGGACCAGCTGTGGACAAGAGCAATTATCAAGAGTAATGGCTCAGGATTACCTAAGAAATACAAACACATTTTTTTCAATTCAAAATTAATATTACAGCAGACATAACACAAAATAAAGCCAACAATAACTGAAGCAAAAGTTATTATAGATTTAAAAAGCTATAAAACTGAAGCATACAGCAAAAGTTGTTTTAGATTAAAAATTGAACAATCAGTCATTGTTAACATTGAAAACTATAAAAATTGAACTGGGGAAATTAGAAATTATCAGTGGAAAATGCAACTGACAGTATGTAAAAATACAGATGTTAAATTTAAAATTTGTATTGACAGAAGAAGAAGAATTTTTTTTAAATTTAGAGCTGTGCAAATTATTCGAGAAATTTGGCTTTGTAGAAGTAATGGCCACAAAAAGAAGACTCATTAGAGCAGAAGATTCACTTTTTGAAATTAGACTCGAGTAAGGAAAAAAAAACAAAAAGCCCACAAAAAGAAAGGATGAGTCAAGTTATCACCGAAAAATAAAAATGGAAACAATTTGGTTAACTGCTGTTAGAAAATTGACCCAAAAACTAAACTGGGTTCATGGAATTTGCTTCAGAAAACGCTTCCTTGACAAATGTCAACAGTTGTTTTAATTCTGATTAACGTGATGGGTCATGAACTTGGAGTCAAGAGCTCTCAGGGTGAAAATGCCCACTGAGTCAAAATGGCAGAGTCCGAACAGCCTCACTGCGGAGGGCCCTGCAGTCGTGGGGTTCAGCCCCCCGCCGGCTCAGGTGGGCTGCTCATGCCACACCATCCCCTATGGGGAATCCAATGTGTGTCTGTCGAGCACAGCCCACCACAGTCCTTCAACAAGATTTAATATTTGGACTCTGCAAGGAGGACTTTCTTCCTTCTAGACCACAAGCCACAAGAATCTGGACATGAAACAGTCCAGTACTCACCATGACAGCCAGGTGGAGACACCTGTTTAAGAACAAAGCTGATGTGGTTTGGATGTTTTTTCTCTGCAAATCTCACATTGAAATGTGATCCCCAGTGTGGGAGGTGGAGCCTGGAGGGAGGTGACTGGATCATGGGCGTGGATCTCTCATGAATGGTTTAGCGCCGTCCTCTTGGTGATGAGTGAGCTCTCCCTCAGTTTTTTCCTGCAAGATCTGGTTGTTTAAGAGTGTGGTGCCTCCCCCTTCCTTCTGGCTCTGGCTCTTGCCACATGATGTACCTGCTCCCTTCCACCTTCTGCCATGATTGGAAGCTTCCTGGGCCCTCACCAGAGGCAGATACCCATACCATGCTTCCTGTACAGTCTGCAGAATTGTGAGCCAATTAAACCTCTTTTCTTCATAAATTATCCAGTCTCAGGGATTTCTTTATACGATGCAAAAATGGACTGACACGAAAGCCAATCCAAATTGAGATGGAGAGAAGGGAGGAAGACAGAGAGAAAAAGAAAGAGGGAAACGACTGACAGCGTCTCTCGAGCCCTTGGCTGCAGCGGTTCCTGGATCTGCCAGTTGGGGGAGCCAGTCAGAGTCTGGGGCATGCGGAAGTTGACCTCTTAATCAAATGATGGAGCCGCTGTCAGAGGGGAGGGTTGGGAAGGTGCGGAGCAGACAGTGGGGATGAAGATTCGAGAGATGAAAAGTCCTGGGGAATGCCAAGATCTGGCCACGGCCATGAGGATGTTTGCTTGGGTAACGATGAGTCCACATTTGAAGAAAGCTAAGGGGCCTGGGGCTAGGATGATGCATGTGCCACCCTCTTGGGCTTCAAAGTCATCTGCAGTGGTGTCTGGACTTGGGTGGAAAATTTAGTGAGCCAGGCTCCAAAGTTCCTGGGGCCTGTGGGGAGGGGACCTGGGGGAGGTGGTCAGGAACTCCACAGATGGCAACAGGTGGAGGAAAGGCTGGCACGCTCAGACATGGGGAGCCTCAAAACCAAGAAAGGCCACTCATAGCCCCGGCTGTCAGCGTTCCATCAAGGTCAAATCCACCTACCCAGTGCTGAGAGTCGAGTTGTGTCCCACCAAAACTCATGTGTTGGAGTCCTAACCTTCTGCCCCTCAGAACATGATCTGATTTGGAAATGGGGTCATTGCCAGTGTTACTAGTTAAGATAAGGTCATGCTGGAGCATGGCGGGCTGGAGTCCTCCTAAAAGGGGGACATTTGGACACAAGCAAATGGGGAGAAGGGCACGTGAAGGTGAAGGCGCAGATCAAGGTGGTGCTTCTGCTAGCCCATGAACACCAAGGCTGCCGGCAAACCCCAGAGGCTGGAGAGAGGCCTGGAGCTGCGGCTGCCTCCCAGCCTCAGAAGGCACAGCCCTACCGATACTGTGACTGTGGCTTCAGGCCTCCAGCACCATGACCCAGCACACTGCTGTAGCTTAAAGCACCCAGTGGGTGGGACTTGGTTATGGCAGCCCCAGGGCACTCACACAGCTGTGAACCAACTTCTCCACTCCAAGGCATTTTTCCCGTGAGAAATGAGCACATACATCCATGCAAGGACACGTCCATGAATGCTCACAACAGCCTTGTTCATAGGAACCCCAAATTGGAAGCAATCCAAATGTCCTTATAACACTGTTTATCCAAATGAACAATTAAACTGCAATGTATTTACACAAGGAATTCTACTCGGCAACAAAAAAGAACAGATTAGGCCAGGTGCGGTGGCTCACGCCTGTAATCCCAGCACTTTGGGAGGCCAAGGCGGGCGGATCACCTGAGGTCAGGAGTTCAAGACCAGCCTGGCCAATGTGGTGAAACCCCATCTCTACTAAAAATACAAAAATTAGCTGGGTGTGGTGGCGGGCACCTGTAATCCCAGCTACTCAGGAGGATGAGGCAGGAGAATCGCTTGAACCCGGGAGGTGGAGGTTGCAGTGAGCCAAGATCGCACCACTGCTCTCCAGCTTGGGCGACAAAAGTGAGACTCCATCTCCAAAAAAACAAAACAGAACAAAGAACAGATTACGGATTACCGATACACACAATGTAGATGAATCTCAGAAAACATGTTGAGCAAGAGGCCGGACACCAGATGACAAGCCGTAGAATCTCAAGACTGCGAAGTCCTAGAGCCTCCAAAACTCACCGCAAGGGGTGAACTGACCAGCAGTGGGCTGCGGATGAAGCGGCAGAACGGCAAGTCTGGAGGCTGAGAACATTCTAGTCTTCCATGGAATGGTGACGTACTCGTGGAATCTTCCACCAAAGCCATGTCGAACCTACTGGATGTACTCAGACCTCAAGAACACTGCTTTAGGTTTTTAAAATAGAAATAAAAGCAGAAGAGGTTGCTGGAGGCAGTGACCTGGGGTCCGGGGTGTGATCGACCCTGTTTTCTGTCCCATAACAAGGGTGGGGCTCCCCGGGAAAGCCTGATAGTCAGAGATCAAGAATAAGCAGGAGTTGTTCCTGGGGAGAGGCAAGCTTCAGAGCCCGTCCTTCCTCTCTCCGTGCACTCAGTGGTTACCTACTGAGCACCGACTACAGCCGGGCAATGTGCCAGGCACAAAAGTGCGCGAGTGAACAAAACCCCATCCTGCATTCCATGCAGGGAGGGAGGAGACAGCAGCGAGGAAAACCTGGAACTCATCCTCCAACAGTGATGCAGGTTAGGAAGGAATGTAAAACTGGGGGTGGCAAGAGGCAATCAGAGGGGTGCCACATTAGCTAGGTCCTTCAGGAAAGGCTCCGGGATGATGTGAAGGTCGAATCCTGAAGACAAAGGGAACTGAGATGCACCAAGAGCTCCCGGGCCCACTTGGCGTCTCTGCCTCCCCCTGCCCCAGTCCTTGGCCTGTAAGGACCCACCCACTTGAGACCTGCTGAGTTTCCTGAGGAACCTCAAGGAGGTTCTTCCCCATGTGGGGTAGAGGAGACCGGGATTAGGCCATGGGCTCTGTCTCCTCTGTCATCGGGCAGAGCGGAGGCACCACCCCCAGCAGCTCCCTGCCACAGGCTGCACGGCCTTGGACAACCGTCCCCGGATTGCATGTCTGAGACAGCTTTATCTTCGTGAAGGGAGATATGGGGACCCCTGAGAGGGGCTTTCTAAGTGCCTCCTGGAACCCAGGACTCCTGGGGAAACCGTCTTTTCCTTTTCCCATTGCACGGTTCCTATTCTTCATGCCTGTGCTGGTCTCCCCCACCCCACTTTGGGCCTGTGTCTCCCTGTGCGTCCCTGGGCTTGTGGCGCGGCGGAGGTTTGCTCCTGAGGGTGACTAAGCGACAGGATTTGGGCAAGGGCTGGGCCAGGCCTGGGAAAGTTGAAATGGGTTCGGCTCCCAGCTTTCCACAAGGAATCAAAAATCCCAGTGAGGCTCCCACCACCCTGGGGCCCCGGGCCACCCTCCATGCCCTCCCTGTCTCCAGGAGGTGTTTTCCTGCTCCCGTGGGAAAACCGGACCAGGTAGAAAGAGGACGCGCTCGTGAGAATCCCTGTGCAAGGACGTCCGCGTAGTTTATTTTACTTAACAACCTGAGCATGCTTCATTTCTGGCAGGACTGCCCAGATAATTCATCACTTGGAACAATTCTCATTTTCATTTAATGGAAAATAAAAGACGGCCCGAACCACTGGCCATAAAATTGGACAAATGTCATATGAGGTGAAGGGAGAGGGACGGAGGTTTATTATTTTGCTTTCTTGCAATTGGCAGTCTCCTGGCTACCTTCTCCTTCAGGGAAAAACTCTTCCTTTTCATGCCGGATAAAACCCAGCCATCAGAAGTGTAATCCTCTAGGGAAAGAGGTGTATCCCAGAGCCAGAGCTCACTGCTTCTCCCGAGAGCCCGTGCCCTGCACTGCTGACTGGCCCTGAGCTCCCCCAGAGCCACCAGCCACATGGGTTCCCGCACCGATCTCCAGCTCGTTTTGAAAAATAATTTGAATCTCTCCATGGGCACATGGCAATGTGTTCTAATCTAACACAAGCTGTGGCTGCAGGGCCCGGAGCACAGGAAGAGGCCACAGCTGGGGAGTCTCCAGGTCCTGGTGGTCCTGCTCATCAGATGAATCTGGGAGAGAGAAACTTGAGGTCTTCGAGTTGATTCTGCAAGAGCCAACACTGCTATGAGGACACCGAACTGTGAATGGCACCGCAGGGTGTGTTTCCTGGGGATAATGAGAGGCCAGACAACCCCTGGGCTTCCAGCAGGGATGGAGGTCTTGGCGGGTGGCACAGAAGCACTCGCCTCTGCTGCTCCAGGCCACTTCACTGTGTTATTCGGAGCACACGTGTCTGCAGGGGGCGTGAGGTGCTGTGACAACAGATAGAGCCAAGCATGGAAGGGCCACAGGACGGAGGGTCATCCCCACCCCTCAAGCATGGAAGGGCCACAGGACGGAGGGTCATTCCCCACCCCTCACCACGAGGGCGGGCCAGACCTGGGCAGGGAAGGGGTCAGCTGCATGTGGTCACTCAGGACCTGCCATCAAGGGTGGCCATCTGGAACTCAGAGCTTCCAAAAGCACCCTGGGCCACCATCCTAATCGCCGGAAGAGCAGACATCCCAGAGAAGGAACCTGGGAGGGCCTTCCGGGGCCGGGTGCGGAGGAATCCTGAGTCGCTCCCTCACACTCTCTGGGCCAGAACTCAGCCACCCAGGTCCCTGGCAGCAGAGCGTGCTGGAAGTGCGGCCCAGCACAGCCGAGAGTTCTGGGGCCAGCGGTGGCTGCCACCATCCCTTTCCCAGAGGGGGCCCTGGGCACAGCCAAGAGTTCCGGGGCCAGCGGTGGCTGCCACCATCCCTTTCCCAGAGGGGGCCCTGGGCACAGCCAAGAGTTCCGGGGCCAGCGGTGGCTGCCACCATCCCTTTCCCAGAGGGGACCCTGGGAAGGGAAATGGAGGGGTGCGGAAGCTCTGCTGTAGGCGGGCCAGACGGGAGAACTGAGGACACCCATGCTGGGAAAGAGACTCGAGCTTTGAGCATCTTCAAATATTTGAAAATCGTTAGTGCTTTGACTGCCGTGAGTCCAAAGGGAAGTGGAGAAAACGGGCAACGATCACCAAGAGCTATTTTGGGTTTCCACGAGAAGTAACAGCAAGCCAAGATCTCCCGGACTGGAGCAGCTTTGCGAGGCAGGGATCTTTGTCCTGAGACGGCTGTCAAGCCTCCGGGGGTGCGGTGGGGACGGAACCCACGGGCCACAAAAAGGTTTCAACCTTCCAGGGTGAAAATTTTGCAAAGCAGAAGCTCTCCCCCATCCAAACTTCATTTTAAAAATATATTTCCACACTTTCCTCTTTCCTTTTCTAAATCCATTCTCTTCTGTCCTTTTCTAAGATCTGGGACTCCATCATCCTTCACTTCTAGGAAAAAAGAGCCTGCAGGCCTGGGTCCAGCCTGCAGAAGGCTCAAACTCTGTCTCGGCATAGCCACACACGGAGCTCCTTTAATTCCAAGCTTCTTCAGCAGAACAAAACATTAATGGGGAGAAGGGGAGTCTGTTGAAAGCCACCTACCTACTTTTAGAATGGACAAGAGAGATTACAAACCCATGACTGCAAGCCGCTGTAAACTTTAACAAAGTACCATTTTTTATTATTACTGAGAAATATTTTCCCACGCTGTTCACGTCTGCGAATTGGGGGAGGGAGGTGGAGAGTGCGAGGGCAGGTGTACCTGAGACCACTAGGTAGACAGCGTGGGCTAAGAGCAGCTGAGGGCTGTGCCTGCTGCAGCAGCCTTCAAGAAGGAAGGAGCCCCAGACGTGCCAGCAGAGACTGCCTCCCAGACATGGACTGTCCACCCATCTCCAGCAGGGCCAGGGAGTGTGCTTCCAAGTGGGGGCGTGGCACTCAGCCTGCAGCTCTCAGACTGGATGAGATGCCCCTCAAGCCCATTGGCCTGGCATTGACCACTGGCACTCACCCCATGGCAGAGGCGGCTCAATGACAGAAAGAGCCCTGGGAAGCAAGGCCCCCATTCTTATGGGAGCTCAGCCTGCAGCTCTGGTCCCTGTGGCCCCAGCAGCACCGTCCGCTCCCTGGGCCTACACCCGCATCTTCATCTGAGAAGTGAAATGGTTGCAATGCTTGTCCTCACTACTTAGGGTTGACCTATGGTCAAATGCAAGAGTGTGTGCAGAGCTTAGCCTCTGATGTGTGGTTAAGACTTAGTCATGCAAGCTATTATTAGGAGTATTAAACATCAATCACTTGAGGTCACCTTCAGCTCCAGCTGTGCAGGCCATGCCTCAGTCTCACTGCCAAACACCTCAGGGCTAATTTCAAGGTATTGTATTCCTTGAGTAAGTGTATCTTTAAAACCAACTATAAAATCTCCTTGTCCTATAGAAAATCACAGACTCCTGAGCCGGCTGCCTGCAGATGGGTCAAGAAAGAGGCAGACCACAACGTGAACTCCCTTCTGGCAGCCAGCCACCGTCCTCCCCAGGCACCAGACCCCAAGCCCACCTGGCAGGGACCTGGGCTCCCAGCACTGGCCCAGTACATGCAGAGCTCATGGGGAGCATTGCACCTGTTAGGTGACTGGGCCAGGTTGTGCTGTTGAGGCCAATGGCAGGTCCCCTGCCTTCACAAGCAGGGCCAAGCAGCTGCAGGGTACCCTGTGCTGGGCCCTGGCCAGCCCTTCTTGCGTCCCTCAGCAGCGTTTGCTAGAACAGAGCTGCTGGCCTAATGAGTTTCAGGATGTTTATCTCTCACACCACGGAGCATATATTCCTGAGTGTGTGTTTAAATCCACACATTCCAAAGGGCAACCAGGGATGTTTATCCAAGGCTCACTCTCCTCAAACCATTGTTTTATGCCTCCCTGTTTTCCAAGCCATTTCCTATTTTCCTGCTGATATCATGAAAACATAAAATTTTTCCGCACACGCTAAGTGCCTAGAATGGCAGCCAGCTGGTCTAAAGCTGGAAAGGGCCATGAGAGGATCAATGGCCCACAGGAAATGGGCGAGGAGGGCTCCTCGATGGCTGCTGCGGCTGACAATAGGCTCTGCACATGCTCTGTGACACATGCCCCCTGGGGGCCCTAAGAAACCAGCTGCTGACCCTTCCGGGCTGGGAGGAATGTGGGGAAAGTGTAAACCGGGGGATGAGAGATAATGGCCTGGCCCCATGAGCCCAGCCCTCCTGGCCAGCTTTGCAGAACAGCCCGGAGGGCTCACATGCTGACTGCAGGCCTCCCTGCTCCCTCAAGGGAACTTTCCCTCCGAGACGGAGCCTCTGGGCTGGGGGTGGTGCACGCCTCCCTGCAGGTATTAGCGGATGCAGATACTGACTGGTGGCCTCGGTGGGAGGCGCTGCTGTTCTGCAAACTCCCAGTGAGGGTGACGTGGCTGGTCTTGGGGGGGTCACGGGCTGCTCGGTTATCCTTAGTGAAAACAGTCACTCCAGGCACAAAGCTCTGTCACATATAAACTATCATCCCATGAGGGAAGCAGAGAATTCTCCATATTGCAATTTGAGAAAATGAATAGGGAAGTAAGTAACTGTGGAAATTCACAAACCAGGTCATTTATTCACTCAACAAATATCTCTTGAGCCCTGCTGATATGGTTTGGCTGTGTTCCCACTCAAATCTCATCTTGAATTCCCACATGTTGTGGGAGGGACCCAGTAGAAGGTAATTGAGTCATGGGGATGGGTCTTTCCCATGCTGTCCTCATGACAGTGAATAAGTCTCATGAGATCTGATAGTTTTAAAAAGGGGAGTGAATAAGTCTCATGAGATCTGATCATTTTGAAAAGGGGAGCACAAGCTCTTTCTGTTTGCCTGCTGCCATCCATGTGAGACATGATTTGCTCCTCCTTGCCTTTCACCGTGATTGTGAGGCCTCCCCAGCCATGTGGAAGAGTAAGTCCATTAAACCTTTTTCCTGTACAGCCAGGCCCGGTGGCTCATGCCTGTAATCTCGGCATCTTGGGAGGCTGACGCAGGTGGATCACTTGAGGTCAGGAGTTCAGAGTGTGTGCAATAACATATCAGAAGCAAGTCAAAGGAAATCAGGTCTCTGACAAGCAAGCATAAAAATTAAAAAAAAAAAAAAAAGACAGAGAAAGGAAAACCAGGAGGCCAGACTAGCACCCCACGGTTCAGTGAGATGCACTGGGAAGGGAAGGTCTTCGCTTTCCATTGTTTTCATCACAGAAGCGTAACGCTTGGTGCACACTTGGTAAATAACTAGCATATGGTATCACCAAGTCTGACATGTGTGTGCAAAGCCAGGGAGCCTCAGATGGGAAGCACCCCTGTGATTCCGGGACAGGATCGTCAAAGGAAAGGGAAGGAAGGGGCCTCGTGTTACCCTGGGGCAGGGGCAGGGGCATCCTGAGACGCCCAGGGCAGGGAGGCCGGCAGGACCCAGGAGAGCCTGCAGGAGTGAGTGGGGAACCCCACACATTTGCTGCTGCTCTCCCTGCCTCTGCTGTAAGTCAAGGTCGTCTGCAAACCAGCCACTCAGTGCCCAGGAGCCTGGCAGTCCCTTGCTAGTGCTCTCCTCCGGGGAGACAGCCTCAGGCTAGTACAGGACAGATTCCCTGTGTCCTGTGGTTGGCCTGGGATGGGAGGATCCCAGAGTTACTGGGTGGCTTTCTCTGCCTTTAGCTACAACAGGAGGAACATCAGAGCATTGACCTTGGTGTTAAACTGGGGAGGAGAGAATAAGATGGAGCAGCCCGGGCAGTTGGCCCCTCTGAAAGGCACCAGCCTCATCGAAGTTCTTCCAGTTCCGAGGAAAGCGGGAGTACGGAGGGTCACCAGCTCCACCCAGGTCCACGGCGAGTTAGTACAGCCACGGAGGAGAGAGTGGGGAATCCACAGCAGATCATGGGCTCCAGGGCTGAGGGACACCCAGGTAAGCACACCCAGAAGAGGGCACAGATTGGGAGCAGGCACACGGGGAGGATCCAGCTGGTGGCAGCCCCTGGAGAGGAGGCTCCCGGAGGAACATGGCTGAGAGCTTTGTCAGGAAGAGAGGAAGGTGAGGGGCCTCACGGGGGACATGGAGAATGGGGCCAGGGACAATGGCAGCAGAGGAGCAAACGAGAAAGGCCATCCCCATCGAGCAGAGCCGGGAGGGTTGGCAACACGAAAGTCCAGGGAGAGATGGCCCTGGGCGAAGAGAGTAAATGAGCAGAGGTGGAGGCAGTGGACAGACCCCAGCCCTTCCGGGAAGCTGGAGATGAAGATGCTGTGGGTATCATAGTGTCTGCCCCACCCATGGCTGTCCCTGGCCGGCAGAGGGGCAGCAATGAGCAGGCCATGCTCCCAGGTGGCTTGGGGCAGCTAAGATCTGTGGTCATGCGTGTGGGTGCCTGTGAAGAAGGGGAAGAGGGGGAGGAGGTGGGTTGGGGAAGGGAAGGGCAGAGACACCATACGCCTAGGCTGGTTGCTCGGAAATCGAGTTCTCCTCCACCCTGGGAGGGACATGGTGCCAGGACCATCAACCCCACCAAGGAGATGGCAGGACCAGTCCTTCTCTCCCTCCTTCCCTCCCTACCGCAGAGGAAGTGACAGTGCTGGTCATGGCAGGCCAGTGGGCCCCCCGTAGAGCCCGAGTCAGACTCCGATGGCCGCTGTCCACTATGTGGGCACTCAGGACATCAGAAAACAGGTGGCCATCTGCAGAGTATTTCAGAGCGTCTCCTCTGAGCTAGTCGAATCTGTGAGAACTGCCTCTCATGGACCAAAATTCATCAGGAGTTGCATCTGGATAATGGTCTTCTAGGAAAAAAAATAGGAGGAGTCACCAAATAGAAGCCTCTGAAGCAAGGTGGTCTGGAACCAGAGCAGGGAGGAGAAAACAACGGCACCAAAAGCATCCTCTTTTCACCAACACGTCAACTCCTGATGATGACCTTACCCACATTCCCTGGCCAGGGGTCTTCAGCATCCCCGTGAGCCATCCTGGTGGCCAGAGCCTGCTCACAGGGCGAGGGGAGCGTGCAGGCAGCCTGCAGAAAGGCTGAGCCCTCCGCCTGGGTGCTGAACCCCACATGGGATAGCAACTGCCAAGACTAGGGCTACGTGCAAAGGATTCCCAGAGCTTGACCCGTGAGTACCAATTCCAGAGCAAGATCCTTCCCTGTCTCTAAAGAGGCAGGGAACACGGTGGCAGCAGAGAGAAGCAAATCATGGCTGGGGGTGGTGGCTCACGCCCAGCACTTTGGGAGGCCGACGCGGGCGGATCACGAGGTCAGGAGATCGAGACCATCCTGGCTAACACAGTGAAACCCCATCTTTACTAAAAATACAAAAAATTAGCCGGGCGTGGTGGCCGGAGCCTGTAGTCCGGAGGCTGAGGCAGGAGAATGGCGTGAACCCGGGAGGCGGAGCTTGCAGTGAGCCGAGATCGCGCCACTGCACTCCAGCCTGGGAGATAGAGTGGGACTCCGTCTCAGAAAAAAAAAAAAAAACATGCGGTAGCCGCTATCTTGCATGTCTGCTGCGCCATTTAATTTTAACATCCGCACACTGGTGAAAGGTGAGCGCTGAAAGAGCGATTTCTTGGGAAACTCAAGTTGCATTCTTTGGAAAGCCTTACTAAAGGCAGTTGAATTGTGTACTGGAAAGGTGTGTAAAAGACAGGCCAGCAGAACAATTGTAAGGATGAAGAACTACACTCAGGTTATTCTGCAAGTGTCTCTAAGCTTTCATTCTAATGTTTTTTTTTTTGTTGTTGTTGTTTTTGTTTTTTTTTAATGGCAGTGAGAAGCAGAGATGATGCACTAGGGGGGTGGCTCAATAAAGATGGCCTGGAACGCAGCCGCTGCCCCAATCCAAGAAACAGTGGTGGCCCACACCCAACGGCTGGCCAGGGGACGGCTTCCACAGCTCAGGTTCAAGTGAAAGGGTAGGGTGCACGTGGACTTTTGTTGTGATCCCCCACATGGTCTTTCTAAATGTGTTCAGTAACTCCTATCCTGATCTTGCTGCACATCATCTCCTCCTCTTCATCTAACTTTAAAAAGGTAAAACTTCCAGGCAGGTGGATTACTTGAGGTTAGGAATTTGAGACCAGCCTGATTGGTGAAACCACAAACTACTAAAAATATAAAAAATTAGCTGAGCGTGGTGGCACGTGCCTGTAATCCTAGCTACACGGGAGGCTGAGGCAAGAGAATCAGTTGAAACTGGGAGGCAGAGGTTGCAGTGAGCTGAGATCATGCCATTGCTTTCCAGGCTGGGCAAGAGAATGAGACTGTCTCCAGGAAAAAAAAAAAAAAAAAAGGTGAAATTTAACTGGTCTCTCAAGAGCCCCTCTTAACAAGGCCCCTCCCATGCAAACTCTGTCCCCACTCCCAACACTATTCAACCTTATGAATTCATTATTCATTATATCATCTCAGGCCTCTTAAAGCATGTTTGCATCTTAGGAAACATATAGAATTATTTTGTGTGCATATGTGCTGCATAAATGATGCCAGGTTATATGGGTTATTCTACAATTTGCTTCTTTCCTCAATTAAAAACTAACTTGAGGGTTCAGCCATGTTCATGAATCTAGTTTGTTCATATGTGTTTCAATGTATAACTTGCCATATTTTAAAATAGTTTGGGATGAAATGCACCTATATGGATGATGGTGTGGATGGCAACAGTGAGCCATCTGGAGTGGCCGCTGTCATCACACCAGCTGCAGCAGAGAGACACGAGCGGTGGTGGCAGGAGTGGCTGCAGGAGTAGCAGTGGTGGTGGTGAGGGCAGGACCCACTCCCAGGCCCAGAGCCTCAGCCACAACCTCAACCGTGCTCCCCGAGGTGGAGCTGGGCCCAGGGTGGTGCCATGCTCCATAGAGCCAGTGGGAGCCAGGAACAGGAAGGAGCTTCACCCTCCCAGGTATGGCTGCAGATACCCAAGTTGTGGCTGTGGACCCAGGCATCTCTGCACTCTCAGGGACCCTGAGAAGGCCCCCTTTTGCCCCCACAGGCTCAGAGGTGTCTGGTTCCACTACCTGGCCTCTTCCCGCTGTCAACACCTGCTCCAATCATGGAGCAAAGTTGAGACTGAGCCTAGGCACCGTCACAACCCAGCTAGGTGTGTGCATGCTTGGGGCAGCACTGACACACCAGCCCCCTGCCACCTTGGCCCCCTCTGGACTTTGGGCACCAATGAGCATGGGAGGGAGACTGACAGTGTGCTGAGGGCAGCTCAGCACTGACCTACATGCACCCCTTGGCACAAACAGCCTGGGCACCATGAATGGTGGCAGAAAGCAGACAGGATCCTGGGCAGAAGGGGGTAGGTCCCTGGTGAAGCCCCACCCTCAAGTTGATGGGGACCTAAAACCTGGGGGCCAGGTTGCCAGTCCAATGAACTGGAATGAGAACTTGTGGTGTCTTTTCTGGCCCACCATTGGCCACCCACGAACCAATCAGCACTCACTTCCTCCCCTCTGAGGCTCTTAAAAGCCCCAGACTCAGCCAGAGTCCAGATGACAGGATGACCAGCTGCGGAGAGAAGCCGCCCACCCCAGCATCTCCTCTCTGCTGAGAACTGGACATTCATCAGGATGACCTGCCTAGTAGAAGGGGGCTACCCTCTCTGCTGAGAGCTGAAGAGGTGATGGATGACCAGCTGCAGAGAGGAGCTGCTCTGTCTGCTGAGAGCTGGACACTCCTCAGGACACTCTGGCTATAGAGAGGAGCTGCCCACTGCAGGTCTCCTCTGAGCTGTTCTATTGCTCAATAAAGCTCCTCTTCATCCTGCTCATCCCCCGATTTTCTGCATACCTCATTCTTCCTGGAAGCAGGACAGGAGGGCTAAAAGAGACATAACACAGCTTTGTTCTTTTGGCTTAGAATTGACTTGGCAATGTGGGCTCTTTTTTGGTTCCATATGAACTTTAAAGTAGTTTTTTCCAATTCTGTGAAGAAAGTCATTGGTAGCTTGATGGGGATAGCATTGAATCTATAAATTACCTTGGGCAGTATGGCCATTTTCACGATATTGATTCTTCCTATCCATGAGCATGGAATGTTCTTCCATTTGTTTGTGTCCTCTTTTATTTCGTTGAGCAGTGGTTTGTAGTTCTCCTTGAAGAGGTCCTTCACATCCCTTGTAAGTTGGATTCCTAGGTATTTTATTCTCTTTGAAGCAATTGTGAAAGGGAGTTCACTCATGATTTGACTCTCTGTTTGTCTGTTATTGGTGTATAAGAATGCTTGTGATTTTTGCACATTGATTTTGTATCCTGAGACTGCTGAAGTTGCTTATCAGCTTAAGGAGATTTTAGTCCTAAGCCAAAAGAATAAAGCTGGAGGCATCATGCTACCTGACTTCAAATTATAGTACAAGGCTACAGTAACCAAAACAGCATGGTACTGGTACCAAAACAGAGATATAGACCAATGGAACAGAATAGAGCCCTCAGAAATAATACCACACATCTACAACTATCTGATCTTTGACAAACCTGACAAAAACAAGAAATGGGGAAAGGATTCCCTATTTAACAAATGGTGCTGGGAAAACTGGCTAGCCATACGTAGAAAGCTGAAACTGGATCACTTCCTTACACCTTATAGAAAAGTTAATTCAAGATGGATTAAAGACTTAAATGTTAGACCTAAAACCATAAAAACCCTAGAAGAAAACCTAGGCAATACCATTCAGGACATAGGTATGGGCAAGGACTTCATGTCTAAAACACCAAAAGCAATGGCAACAAAAGCCAAAATTGACAAATGGGATCTAATTAAACTAAAGAGCTTCTGCACAGCAAAAGAAACTACCATCAGAGTGAACAGGCAACCTACAGAATGGGAGAAAATTTTTGCAATCTACCCATCTGACAAAGGGCTAATATCCAGAATCTACAAAGAACTCAAACAAATTTACAAGAAAAAAACAAACGACCCCATCAAAAAGTGGGCAAAGGATATGAACAGACACTTCTCAAAAGAAGACATTTATGCAGCCAACAGACACAAGAAAAAATGCTCATCATCACTGGCCATCAGAGAAATGCAAATCAAAACCACAATGAGATATCATCTCACACCAGTTAGAATGGCGATCATTAAAAAGTCAGGAAACAACAGGTGCTGGAGAGGATGTGGAGAAATAGAAACACTTTTACACTGTTGGTGGGACCGTAAACTAGTTCAACCATTGGGGAAGACAGTGTGGTGATTCCTCAGGGATCTAGAACTAGAAATACCATTTGACCCAGCCATCCCATTACTGGGTATATACCCAAAAAAATATAAATCATGCTGCTATAAAGACACATGCACACGTATGTTTATTGTGGCACTACTTGGAACCAACCCAAATGTCCAACAATGATAGACTGGATTAAGAAAATGTGGCACATATACACCATGGAATACTATGCAGCCACAAAAAAGGATGAGTTCATGTCCTTTGTAGGGACATGGATGAAGCTGGAAACCATCATTCTCAGCAAACTATCGCAAGGACAAAAAACCAAACACTGCATGTTCTCACTCATAGGTGGGAATTGAACAATGAGAACACTTGGACACAAGAAGGGGAACATCACACACCAGGGCCTGTTGTGGGGTGGGGGGAGGGGGGAGGGGGGAGGGATAGCATTAGGAGATATACCTAAGGTAAATGAGGAGTTAATGGGTGCAGCACACCAACATGGCACATGTGTACATATGTAACAAACCTGCACATTGTGCACATGTACCCTAGAACTTAAAGTATGATAAAAGAATATATATATATAAAAGAAAGATGTAACACAAACAGGGCTAAAACATGCCCTTTGCCCACCACATTGTGGGTGACAAGAGGGAGGGAAGACAGAAGGAGAGAAGAGCTGCAGCCCTTCAGATAGCTCAGACCTAGAAGTGCCCTGAGCCAGGGCTGTGACACCTTTTTTAGGGCTCTGCAGTTCCTGGCATCTCCAAGCTTCTAGGTGCCATAACAGATTCCCTGGTATCAGCCATGGAAGCTGCTTATGGTACACCTGGTCCAACTGTAGCCTTGCAGGGAGCCAGCATGCCTAACCACGCAATGGTGGGACCTCACACTTGCTCACACATCCCTTGCTGCTCCATGCCTGGCTCGCCCTTGGCAGGTGTGAGATCCAGGCTGGTAGTGGGAGCTGAACACAGCCTGCCAGGCTAAGTGGGCAGAACAAACCCAGCGGGCCAGAGCAAAACTCAGGCAAATGCACCAGTGGCCGCAGAGGTTTCTGGCTGGCAAAGTGACACCCCAGGGATCCTTTAACAGTGTGAGGCACAGATGTCACACAGGACATTGAGGTGACACCGGAATCTCCCCAGACCCCTGCCCCAGGCTCACACCCCAGGCTGCTTCCCAAGAGGTAACCACTCCCAGAATGTTGGGGTCTAATCCCTTGCTTTGTTTTTATGGATTTATACCATAAGTCTTGCCTTAAACAATCGATTGTTTAATTTGGGCTGGTCTCAATGGTAACTTATAAAATGATACTGTGCTCTCTGAGGGCTTCTGCATGTTGCCTTCTTTACCTGGCATCATGCTGAATTTCCTGGGGACATTCATGCTATGACACAACTGCTGAGCCCTGATTGCCTCTGTTGTCTGACATTCCGTCATGCACACATCATAGTGTGTTGTATACAATATGCACAGTGTATTGCTCCTCTCTCCTGTGGATGGGCATTTGGGTTTTCTTTGTTTTGTTGTTTTTAATAAACAATGCTATTGGGAACATTTTCATATAGGATCCCTGGAACTCTTATCTGAGAGTTTCTGTAGGCTGGATGGCTGGGAGTTGACTTGGAAGTGTACTGTCCACTTTTAAGATAATGCCATGTAACTTCCCAAAGGGGTTGTCCCACATTTTGTCCGTCCACTCCTCTAACAATGAGTATTTTCCCTACCATCAGCCATGCTGTGATGAATGGCATTGTCCTCCTGGTGGTGTGTGAGAGCTTCCGGCAATATTCCTAGAAATGGAATTGCTGGGTCAGTGTATGTGAGTTCAAAATTTTAATAGGTAGCTCCAGGCAACCTTTGCCCGTTTGCCCCATCGGCGATGTCTAAAAGAATCAGGTATTCTAGTGTCTTCCCATCCTAATATCTTCCCATCTCATATTGTAACAATGTCATTTCTACAATCAGATGAAAAGTGTCGTGTAATCGTTGTTTTACTTTGCAGCTCTCTGATTGCCAATGACAGTGAGCCCCTGTTTGGATGTTTATTGGCCGTTCCTATTTCTTCTTATGCAGTTTGCTACTCAGATCTTTGCCCATTTTCTGCTAGGCTATTTGTCTCTTGGGCGTGTGCAGGATCCCTTTATATGTTTTGGATCACTCATCTTTGCCTGGATAGCAATGACATTTTTTCCAGTTTGTTCTTATTTATTTATTTATTTATTTATTTATTTATTTATTTATTTTGAGACGGAGTCTTGCTCTGTTGCCCAGGCTGGAGTGCAGTGGCGTGATCTCGGCTCACTGCAAGCTCCAACTCCCAGGTTCACTCCATTCTCCTGCCTCAGCCTCCCAAGTAGCTGGGACCACAGGCACCTGCTACCACGCCCGGCTAATTTTTTGTATTTTTAGTAGAGACGGGGTTTCACTGTGTTAGCCAGGATGGTCTCGATCTCCTGACCTCGTGATCCACCTGCCTCGGCCTCCCAAAGTTCTGGGATTACAGGCGTGAGCCATTGCGCCTGGCCATTTGTTCTTATTTTTAGCTTAGTTTTTTATATCTTAATGTCATGCAAAAATCTAAATTTTACATAACCAGTGTTATCAATATGTTTATTATATGAATTTTGCTTTGAAGTCTTTTTTAAACACCGTCTTCTACGTGTAAATATGAAAAATATTGTATCTTACATTTAAATAAGATAATCTTAGAGCTCCATTTTTAAAAATTTCATTTTTCATTACATATATCCGGAATTTATTTATGTCTATGGTGTGAGGTAGAAATAGAATGTTTCCCACATGGGTACCAGTTTTCTCAGCACTTTCTATTGAATGGCCTGTCCTTTCCTTACTGGTCTGGGAGGCTGCTTCTATATGGACCCAGGTCACACATACAAACAGCCTCTTTCTGGAGCTTCTGTTGTTTCACTGATACAGGTGTCTATGTCCACACTATGACTCACTCACTGTTGTAAATACCAACCTTGTTCTTTCATATTTGGTAGAGTAAATTTTTAAAAACAAAACTCTTTGCTTTTCTATTTTAAGTTGCTTGAAATGTATGCTTGCATATGAATTTTAGGATCACTTTGTCAAGTTCTATAAAAAAATCTTTCAAAATTAATGAATTTTAATTGACATAATTGTACATACTTATGGGATAGAATTTGATGTTTTGATACACATCTGTGTTGTATAATGATTCAATCAGGGTATCTAGTATATCCAGCATCTCATGTATTTATCATTCCTTGGTGGTGAGAACATTCAAATGCCTCCCTTCCAGCTGTGTTGTAATATACAATACCTTACTATTAACCACCATCACCTGGCTGTGCACACAAACATCATAATTTATTCCTCCCAACTGCAACTTCGTACCTGTTGATGAACCTCTCCCCGTTTCCCTCTCTTGTCTCCACCCTAGTCTCTGGTAACCATGTTCTACTCCCTACTTCTGTGGTAGCGACCTTTTTGTTTGTTTTCGATTCCACATATGAGTGAGATCATATGGTATCTGTCTTTCTTCGTCTGGCTTATTTCACTTAACATGATGCCCTCCAGGTTCATTTAAGTTGTTGCAAATGATCAGATTTCCTTCTTTTTTTATGGCTGAATAGTATTCCATTGTGTATAAGTCCCACATTTTATTTATCCTTTCATTCACTGTTGAGCACTTAAGTTGATTCCATGTCTTGGCTATTGTAACTACTGCTGCGATCAACATGGGAGTGCAGATATCTCTTTGACATACTGATTTCATTTCCTTTGGATATATACCCAGTAGTGGAATTGTGGGATTATATAGTAGTACTATTTTTAATTTATTGAGGAATCTTCATACTGTTTTCCGTAACAGCTTTACTAGTTTACAATCCCACTAACAATGTGTAAGAGTTTCCTTTTCTTCACATCCTTGCCAACACTTGTTTTCTTTTGTTTTATCAATAGGAGCCATTCTAATTGGAGTGAGTGGTATCTCACAGTGGTTTTGATTTGCATTTCCCTGATGATTACTGATGTTGAATATTTTCCATAAATCTGTTGGCTATTTGTATGTTTTCTTTTGACATTTCTCAAATATGTCTTCTTTTGAGAAATGTCAAAAGAAAACATCTTTTGCCCATTTAAAATTTTTTTTCTGCTGAATTGTGTTAAATTCCTCATACATTCTAGATATTAACCCCTTCCCAGACAAATAGACTGCAAATATTTTCTCTCATTCTGCAGGTTGTCACTTCACTCTTAATAGTTTTCACTCCATGCAAAATCTTTTTAGTTTGATGTAATCCCACTTGTCCATTTTGGTTTTTTTTCTATTCTTTTATGTTCTTATTTTAAAAGTCCTTGCCCAACCCAATGTTGCAAAGTGTTTCCCCTGTTTTTTTTCTAGTAGCCTCATAGCTTCAGATTTTTTAAGTTTTTAATCCATTTTGAGTTGATTTTTTTATATGGTGAGAAGTAGGGATTTAGCCTCATTCTTTTGCATGTTGATATACAATTTTCCCAGCACAGTTTATTAAAAAGATTATCTCTTCCTCAATGTGAGTTCTTGTCACCTTTGTCAAAAATCAATTGGCTGTAGATGTGTGAATTTATTTCTGACCTCTCTATTCTGTTCCACTGGTCTATGTGTCTGTTTTTATGCCAGTACCGTGCTGTTTTAGTTGCTATAGCTTCATAATAAATTTTGAAGTCAGGTAGTGTGATGCCTTCAGCTTTGTTCTTTTTGTTCAGGATTGCTTTGGCTAGTCAGTGTCTTTTGTTGTTCTATATTAATTTTAGGGTTTTTTTTCTATGACTGTGAAGAATGACATTGGTATTTTGATAGGAATTGCATTAAATCTGTAGATTGCTTTAAATAATATAGCCATTTAAAAATATTCTTTCAATTTATGAATGCAGAATATTTTTCTATCTATTTGTGTCCCATTCAATTTCTTTCATCAAAGTATTATAGTTTCCAGTGTAGAGATCTTCACATCCTTGGTTAAGTTTATTCCTAGCTAGCTTATTTTTTGTAGCTATTCTAAATGGAATTATTTTCTTCAGTTCTTTTTCAGATGGTTCACTATTAGCATGTAGAAATACTACAGATTTTTTTATGTTGATTTTATACCCTGCAAATTTACTGAATTTTTAAAATTAGGTCTAACAGGCTTTTGGTGGTTTTTAGGGGTTTCTATACATAAGATTGTATTTTATGCAAATAGGAACAATTTAACTTTCTCCTTTTCAATGTGGATGCCTTTTATTTCTTTTTCTTGCCTAATTGCTCTGGCTAAGCCTTCTACTACTATCTTGAATAGAATTGGTGAAAGTGAGCATCCTTGTCTGGTTCCTGATATTATTTTCATCATTCATTCTGACGTTAGCTGTTGGTTTGTCATAAATGGCCTTTATCATGTTGAGGGACATAACTTCTATACCAAATTTTTTGAGAGAAGAAATGTTAAATTTAGTCAAATGCTTTTTCTGTGTCTATTGAAATTATCGTATGATTTTTGTCTTTCTTTCTGTTAATGTGGTATATCACATTTATTGATTTGTGTGTTAAACCATCTTTGTATCCCTAAGATGAAATGTGCTTTACCATAGTGAATGATCTTCTTAACGTGCTGTTTGATTCAATTTGCTAGTACGTTGTTGATAATTTTTGCATCTATGTTTATCAGAGATATTGGCCTGTAGTTTTCATTGTTATTGTTGTTTTTGCATCCCTGTCTGGTTTTAGAATTAAGGTAATGGTGTCCTCACAAAATGGGTTTGTACATATTCCCTCCTCTTCAGTTTTCTGGAATCGTTTGAGGAGAATTTGTATTATTATTCTTAAAAGCTTGGCAGAATTCAGCAGTGAAGCCATCAGGTCCTGGGCTTCTCTTTAAAGGAAGGCTTGTTATTACTTATTTAATTTCCTCACTCATTATCAGTCTGCTCTGATTTTCTATTTTTTTATAATTTAATCTTGGTAGTTTATATGTGATTAGAAATTTATCTGTTTCTTCTGAGTTATCAAATTTGTTGACCCAGCCTGGGCAATATAGCAAGACCCTATCTCTACAAAAAATAAAAAGTTAGCAGGTTGTGGTGGTGCAATCCTGTAGTCCCAGCTACTTGAGAGACTGAGGGAGGAGGATCATTTGAGCCTAGGAGTTCAAGGTTACAGTGAGCTATGATCCAGCTCACGCCACTGCACTCCAGTCTGGTGACAGAGTGAGACCCTGTCTAAAAAGAAATTGTTGGTGTAGTTATTCATAATCATTTTTTATCATACTTTGTATCTCTGTGGTGCCAGGTATAATGTCTCTTTTTTCATCTCTGGTTTTATTTATTTGAGTCTTCTCTTTTATTTTCTTAATCTAGCAAAAGGCTTGTCAATTTTGTTTATCCTTTCAAATATCTAACTCTTTGTTTTATTGATCTTAACAATTTTTTAAACCTCTTTCATTTATTTCTACTCTGAACTTTATTATTTCCATCCTTCTACAAATTTTGGGTTAGTTTGTTCTTATTTTTCTAGTTTCTTGAAGTGTATCTTTAGATTGTTTATTAGAAATCTTTCTTCTTTTTTAATATAGTCATTTATTGCTATGAACTTTCCTCTTAGAACTGCTTTACTGTGTCCCATAGGTTTTTGGTATGATGTGTTTCCATTCTCATTTGTCTCAAGGAAATTTTTAATTTCTCTTTTAATTTCTTCATTGACCCACTGGTTGCTTAGGAGCATGTTGACAAGTTTCCATGTATTTATAAAGTTTCCAAAGTTTTTCTTATTGTTCATTTCCAGTTTTATACCACTGGGGTCAGAAAAGATACTTGATATAATCTCTGTCTTCTTAAGTTTCTTAACTAGTTTTGTAGCCTAATGTGATCTATCCAGCAGAATGTTCCACGTGCAGTTGAGAAGAATGTGTATTCTGTAGCTTCCAAGTGGAATGTTCTTTCAATATCTGTGAGGTACATTTGATCTATGGTTCAGTTTCAGTCCAGTGTTTCTTTGTTGACTTTTTTGTCTAGATAATATATCTGTTGTTGAAAGTAGGTGCTGACATACCCTACTATTATTGTATTGGAGTCTATCTCTCTCTTTAAGTCTAATAATATTTGCTTTATGTATCTGGGTGCTCTGGTGTTGGGTGCATATATAATTACAATTTTTATATCTTCTTGATGAATTGATCCCTGTGTATCAAATAGGGATCCCTATCATTATCTAATGACCTACTTGTTTCCTTGTACAGTTTTTGACTTAAAATTTATTTTATCTGATATAAGTATGGCTACCCTTACTTGCTTTTGGGTTCTGGTTGCATGAAAAATTTTTTTCCATTCCTTTATTCTCAGTCTGTCTTTAACAATGAGGTGAGTCTCTTGTAGGCAACATATAGTTGGGTCTTTTTTGTTGTTAATTTTGGTTACTCTATATATTTTAATCAGATAATTTAATCCATTTACATTCAAAGGTATTATTGATAGACAAGAACTTATTCCTGCCATTCTGTTAACATTTCTCTGGTTGTTTTGTTGATCCTTTGTTCCTTTCTTCCTCTCTTGTTGTTTACCTTTGTGGTTTGATGGTTTTCTAAGGTGCTAAGCTGTGTTTCCTTTCTCTTTCTCATTTGTGTATCTGCTGTAATTTCTTTCTTTGTGGTTATCATGGGGCTGACATAAAGGGTTTTGTAGTTATAATATGTTATTTTAAGCTGATAGCAACTAAACTTTGGTTTCATGAAAATATTCTAGATTTTTCCCTCTTTCCAAAAAAAAATTATTAATGTTCCCTTAATTTACTTTTGTATATATTGTGTGGTCCTTATCCATTAACTGTAGCTGATGTTATTTTGACTTGAAAACTTCATAATAGACAGAGAGGGAAATAACAGATAGGAAGCAGGACTAGATTGCAGCTCCCACTAAGACAGACAGAACAGCATGTGGAGACTCGCATTGTGAACTTTTGCTCCAGAACTACTGCAGGAACACATCAGGAAAGCTGAGAGAATCCACAGACCCTCTGAAGGAAGTGGATTACTCCTGTAGGACCTGGGAGACAACCCAAACACCGTGAGCGCCCAAGCTGTGAAAGTGGGAAAGGGGGACTGTCCACCCCAGAACACACACCCTCACTGGGGAACCTGAAGATCTAGATCATGGGAGAAGGATTTGACCTTACCTGGAGTTGAGTCAATTTATAACAATTCCAAACAAACCTGAAGTCTCCTGGCCAGAACTTGGGGGAAGGCATAAATCTGGTGTGCAGACTCTACAGGTGGGGAGGCACAAAAGACCTGCTTGCTCTCTAAGCTGAGAGGCTGGTAGCCTGGGGCAAGTTCTCAGCCCTGCTCACCCACTACCTGGAAACGAACTTGGTGCTGTTGGAGGGGTGGGCACAGTGGAAGTGAGACCAGCCTTTTGGGCTGTGTGGGAGCTGGGTGAGGCCTATAACTGCCGGCTTCCCCCCACTTCCCTGAAAACCCACATGACACAGCAGCAGCAGCCGTAATCCTCCTGAGAACATAACTCCATTGACCTGGGAACCACACCCCCATCCCCCACAGCAGCCTCAGCAAGCCCCACCCAAGGAGATTCTGAGCTCAGACATTCCTAATCCTGCCCCCACCTGATGGTCCTTCCCTGCCCACTCTGGTAGCTGAAGACAAAGGGCATATTCTCTTGGGAGTTCTAGGGCTTGTCCACTGCCTGATCCATACTACCACAGCTGATGCTCTCTTGAAATTGCCACCTCCTGGCAGGAAACCAACCGCAAAAAAATCGTGCATTAAATAACCAAAACTAAGGACAGAGTCCATTTCACTCCCCTGCCACCTCTACCGGAGCAGGTTCAGGTATCCATGGCTGAGAGATATAAAGATAGTTCATATCACAGGACTCTGTGCAGACAACCCCCGGTACCAGCTTGGAGCCTGGTGGCCCTGCGGGGTGGCTAGATCCAGAAGAGAGATAACAATCACTACAGCTTGTCTCTCAGGAAGCCACATCCCTAGGAAAAAGGGGGAGAGCACTACATCAAGGAAACACCCCATGGGACAAAAGAATCTGAACAGCAGCCTTGGCCGGGTGGGGTGGCTCATGCCTGTAATCCCAGCACTTGGGGAGGCCAAGGAGGGTGGATCATGAGGTCAGGAGATCGAGACCATCCTGGCTAACACAGTGAAACCCTGTCTCTACTAAAAATACAAAAAATTAGCCGAGCGCAGTGGTGGGTACCTGTAGTCCCAGCTACTTGGGAGGCCGAGGGAGGAGAATGGCATGGACCCAGGAGGTGGAGCTTGCAATGAGCTGAGATCATGCCACTGCACTCCAGCCTGGACAACAGAGCGAGGCTCCATCAAAAAAAAAAAAAAAAAGAGAATCTGAACTGCAGCCTTCTGGAGCTCCAGATCCTCCCTGTGACATAGCCTATCCAAATGAGAAGGAACCAGAAAAACACTTCTGGTAATATGACAAAACAAGGTCTTTAACACCCCCCAAAAAATCACACTAGCTCACCAGCAATGGATCCAAACCAAGAAGAAATCCCTGATTTACCTGAAAAAGAATTGAGAAGGTTGATTGTTAAGCTAATGAGGAGACATGAGAGAAAGGAGAAGTCCAATTTAAGGGGAAAAAAATGATACAAGAAATGAGGGGAGAAGTATTCAGAGAAATAGACAGCATAAATAAAAAACAGTCACAACTTCAGGAAATAAAGGACACAGAGAAATGCAAAACTCTCTGCAAAGTCTCAGCCATCGAATCGAACAAGCAGAAGAAAGAACTTCAGAGCTCAAATACAAGGTTTTAAAATTCACCCAATCCAACAAGGATAAAGAAAAAAGAATTTAAAAAATGAACAAAGCCTTGAAGAAGTTTAGGATTATGTTAAATGACCAAACCCAAGAATAATTGGTGTTCCTGAGGAAAAAGAGAAATCTAAAAGTTTGGAAAACATATTTGGAGAAATAATCAAGGAAAACTTCCCAGTCTTGCTAGAGACCAAGACATCCAAATACAAGAAGCTCAAAAAACACCTGGGAGATTCATCACAAAAAGATCATTGCCTAGGTACATTGTCAACAGATTATCTATAGTCAAGATGAAGGAAAGAATCTTAAGAGCTGGGAGGCAAAAACACCAGGTAACCTATAAAGGAAAACCTATCAGATTAACAGCAGATTTATCAGCAGAAATCCTACAAGCTAGAAGGGATTGGGGCCTTATATTCAACCTCCTTAAACAAAACAATTATCAGCCAAGAATTTTGTAGCCAGAGAAACAAAGCTTCATAGATGAAGGAAAGATAGGGTCTTTTTCAGATAAACAAATGCTAAGAGAATTCGCCCCTAACAAGCTAGCACTACAAGAACTGCTAAAAGGAGCTCTAAATCTTGAATCAAATCCTGGAAACACATGAAGACAGAACCTCTTTAAAGCATGACTCTCACAGGACATATAAAATACAGAAAACAAACAAACAAACAAAACCTAAGCTTTACAGGCAACAAATAGCACAATGAATGAAATAATACATCTCAATACTAATGTTGAATGTAAATGGCCTAAATGCACCAGAATCTACAAGGAACTCAAACAAATTAGAAAAAAGAAAACATCAAAAATGGGCTAAGAGCATGAATAGACAATTCCCAAAAGGATATATACAAATGGCCAACAAACATATGAAAAAATGCTCAACATCACTAATGATCAGAAAAATGCAAATTAAAACCACAATGTGATACCACCTTACTTCTGCAAGAACACCCATAATAAAAAAATAACAGATGTTGGTGTGAATGTAGTGAAAAGAAAACACTTCTACACTGCTGGTTGGAATGTAAACAAGTACAACTACTATGGAAAACAATGTTGAGATTCCCTAAAGAACTAAAAGTAGACCTACCATTTGATCCAGCCATTCCACTACTATCTACCTAGAAGAAAAGAAGTCATTATAAGAAAAAGATACATGCACATGCATGTTTATAGCAGCACAATTTGCAATTGCAAAAAATGTGGAACCACCCCAAATGCCCATCAATCAATGAGTGGATAAAGAAACTGTGGTGGTACATATACACAATGGAATACTACTCAGCCATAGAAAGAAATGAATTAATGGCATTTGCAGCAATCTTGATGGGACTGGAGACTATTATTCTTTTTTTTGAGACAGAGTTTCACTCTTGTTGCCCAGGCTGGAGTGTAATGGTACGATCTTGACTCACTACAACCTTTACCTCCTAGGTTCAAGCAATTCTCCTGCCTCAGCCTCCCAAGTAGTGAGGATTACAGGCATGCACCACCATACCTGGCTAATTTTGTATTTTCAGTAGAGACAGGGTTTCACCATATTGGCCAGGTTGGTCTCGAACTCCTGACCTTAGGTGATCCATCCACCTTGGCCTCCCAAAATGCTTGGATTACAGGCACAAGCCACCACACCCAGCCCAGGAGACTATTATTCTAAGTGAAGTGAATCAGGAACAGAAAGCCAAGCATCATATGTTCTCACTCATAAGTGGGAGCTAAACCATGAGGATGCAAAGACATAAGAATGATACAGTGGGCTTTAGGGACTAAGGGGAAAAGGATGGGAAGGGGGTGAGGGATACATGACTACAAATTTGGTTCATGGTATCACTCAGGTGATAGGTGCACCACAATCTCACAAATCACCACTAAAGAACTTACTCATGTAAGTAAACACCATCTGTTCCCAAAAAAACCTATGGAAATAAAAAAAATTAAAAAAAAACTTTATAATGGCACCCAGCGCATTATAGCACTGGGGTATTCTGAGTATGATTATGAATGTATTTATAGCAGTGAGTTATATGCTTTCATATTTTTTCATAATGGTAATTATCACTTTTGTTTCCAGTTGTAGCACTGTCTTAAGCATTTCTTGTAAGACCAGTCTAGCGGTAATAAATTCTCTCAGCTTTTGCTTGTCTAAGGTCTTTACATCTCCTGCATTTCTAAAGGATAGCTTTGCTGGATATAGTAATTTCGTCTGACAGGCTTTTTTTTTTTCTTTCAGCACTATGAATATCTCATTCTCTCCTGCCCTGAAAGGTTTCTGCTGAGAAATCTCTTAATAATCTAAAGAGGATTCCCTTATATGTGACTTGATGCTTTTCTCTTGTTGCTTTTAGAATTCTCTCTTTGTCTTTAAAGAGTTTGATTATAATATGCCTCTGAGAGAGTCATTTTGGGCAGAATCTAATTCGGGACTGTTGAACTTTTTGCATCTGGATGTCCATATTTCTCCTGATATGTGAGAAGTTTTTAGCTATTATTTTGTTAAATAAATTTACTGTACCTTTCTTCATTCTTTTTCTCTCACATTCTTATATCATGAATATGTGTTTGCTTAGTTGTTGTTTCATAAGTCCTGTAGGCTTTCTTCATTCTTTTTTATTCTTACTTATTTTTGTCCCCTCCGACTGGGTTATTTCAAATGCCTTGTTCTTCAGTTCTGAAATTCTTTTGTCTGCTTGATCTGCTCTGTTGTTGAAAATCCCAATTGTATTTTTAACTTCATTTATTGAATTATTCAGCTCCAAGATTTCTATATGGTTATTTTTATGTTATCTGTGTTTTTATTGAATTTCTCATTCCAATCATGAAATTGTAAAAACTATTTTATTGATTTGTCTGTGTTCCCTTGTAGCTCACTGAGTTTCCTTAAGATCACTATTTTACATTCTTTTTAAGCATTTCACAAATGTCCTTATCTTTGGAGTCTGCTAATGGAGATTTATTGTGTTCCTTTGGGGGTGCCATGCTTTCTTGCTTTTTCATGTTTCTACATTGATATTTGTGCATCTAGTGGAATAGCCACTTTTTCCAATTTTATGGAGTAGGTTTCATAGGGAAAGACATTTTCCTGTAGATATGTCCTAGGATGTTGGCTTTGGTTCTGGGTGGACTCAGTAGTGCAGCTGTCATATAGTTTCCTCATATCATATAATAATCTTCATCATCAAGGTCTGTGATTGCCTCAGTGGTGTAGGGTATGGGAGTTTGTGATGGTAGTGGTGTGGTTTTGCTGGGGGAGGGAGTGCTGAGCTGGTTGTTGGGCTGGGCACATACGGATATGGAGGGCCAAAAAGCTGTCCATTGGGTTCTCTGGAAGCAAGAAAAGGTGAATTAAATGCAAGACTCAGGCATGCGTGGGCATGGCTGGCCAGGAAACTGTGTATGTACTGTCTCTTTAGGGAAACAGGGCTGCTGGTGGACTGGATATTGGGACAGGTACATGTGGATGCAGTAGGGCTAGGTGGCTTTATAGCAATCTACCCAGCAGGGCAAGGTCATCACAGGGCTGGCTGTTGATCTATGCAGAGACATGCATAAGCTCAGAGGGCTGACTGGCTAAGCATTTCAGGTGCATGTAGGTGAGGTGACCAGCCAGCTGTTGGGTGACTGCTCTGCTGTGCAGGCCCACCTGTTCCCTGGGTGGGGGGGTGGTGGGGATGGTGTGCCACATGGGTTCAGATGCTGGGTGGGGTCTCAGGTGTTCTGTCTGGGCTAGGCTCTGGGAAGTTGGGTTCAAGGTACTGCAGGCACCTGTGTGAACATGGTAGTGACAGTAGGGCCTGAAGGATGGATATAGTTGGTTGCTACTCATCCCCAGGACAGGGCATACCCTATTAGTAGGTTCAGTTTCAAAATGGTGTTGAGTTGCAGCAGCTTAGGTAACAGGGTTGGGGGCACTCAGTTCAGGCTCCTACTCAGGTAATATAACTGCAACAAGTCCCAGCTACTCTCCAAACTGGATTTGGGGCCTGTGAGGACTGGGGGCCCTTCCCGTAGCAAGGATTGCTGGTGTTTGTGAAAGCAATGAGGAGTGCTGTGGATCTCCATTACCCGTAAGAAGAAATCGGCCCTGACTCTGAGCCAGTCCTGGGCGGGGGACACAGTGTGGCAGAAGCAGGATGCCTTGCTCTCGTCTTTACGGTGCTATCCTGGGCTTCTGTGCTCCACAGACTGTGCCACGGCCCTGGTGCTCTCCAGTGTACATCCTCAGTCATGCTGGTTGAAATACAGTTGCTTATTTGTTGTTTTGGTACTTTTTGTGTGTGTTGTGGGGCAGGGGATGCTGCAGGTAACTCTGATCAGCCATCTTGCTGACATCCTCTGAAAACTCTTTTTTTTCTATTACATTTTTGCGATTTTGATTAGATTTGCATTGATTTTATAAGTTAATTTGGGGTGAACTGATACGTTTACAACAAGGAGTCTTTCCCTCCTATGACATGGCATCCTTCTCGATTTTTTCTTGTCCTCTTGTCTGTCAGGAAATCTGTATGACTTTCTCCATAAAACAATTCTCAGGCATGTTTCTAAGGACATATTTTTGTAGGGATTTGAAACACAATCTGTTTTTGTACTATAATTTTTTAATTGATGTCTACTGGTGCATAGGCAAGATTTGGATTTTCACACAGAGAGCTCATGTCAGCTACACCGCTGAACTCTGATTAATTTCATATTTGTCAAACAATTAGCACAAACACTTTTGAAAAATAAAATCTGATTGGGAATCCCAGTAGCAAAATGGATAAAAGTGTCAAGCAGGCCTCTCATGCTGCCTTACTTTCTTCACCATCCGGCTGAGGAACAGGCCATTCCTTGCTGACCCAGCTCCTTCCAGCTCAGTATGAGGATGAGAATCCTGCAGCCTCCTCCCCTGATCAGGCGGAGCCTGGCTCCACCTGGGGAGAGTCTGGGACCTCGGCACCTGCAGATCAGAGGCCCTCCCGCTCCAGTCCACCAGCACACAGGGAAGGGAAGGGAGACCCGGGGAAGCCACGTGCCTTCCCCATGTTGCCCAGCGGTTAAAAAGGGCGCAGGGACTACCCAGGGACTTTGGCTTCCAGGCATGACACAACCTTGCCTTCCAGGCTGGTCTCACTTATAGGCATCCCTGTCAACCAAGAACATTCTGTTCAGAAAAAGTTATTTTTTCCTACTTTTTTGGTCCTGAAAATTAATGTGGTCTCTTTTCTGATTTTTACCTCGGGCTCTCCTTCATCTAAGAATCAAACCAGAGCTAGATTCCCAACTGTCTATCAATCTAGTCTGATTTTTCCCTTGAAGAAGAGAGGTCCTTTCGCACAAGTTGCTCTTTGATCTTATGATAATTTTACCATTTTCCATGACTAGATGTCCCCGTTCTGAACAGGCTCTGGGTGGCAAAAGGGATCTTAGGTTCCCTTGACAACCTAAGCCCATACTGATCCCATTGAGTTTGATGTCAACTACACTGGTACCCGAGCAAAATGTCCTGCTGTGTTAGGCTCACAGCTGGCTCTGTTTCCCTTGCCTTGAAAAGGAAATTGGCAAAGGAAGTACAAGGCTGACAGTTTTATTCCAGTGTACATGAAAAACGTTTACTTGCAGCCTTCCACTGCCCTGGTGTTTTGTCACCAGACCTGAGGCCATTTCTCCACCTCCTCCTGCTGTTTGGCCTGTGAGCTGGGACCCCTCCAAGGTGCAGGTGCATCCAGTATTAGAGAAGCCAGGCATGTGTGTGCACACACCCCACGCTCATTTTTGACCCCAGAGCCTTAAAGCTCATCGGCAGCATCAAACTCCTTTATATGCCCACCTATATGTAGCCCCTCCCTTTGCTGTGTCTCTGAGGGAGAATCCAGGCTCCCATGAGGGTGGCCGAGCCTGCTTTATCCCCTTCGGCACACCCAGAAGTGAACCCTGAGCCTCGCTCCTGGGTGGACTCAGGAATGTTCACAGTAATGGACTATGCAGCACCAACATCAGCATGACCCACCTATTGGGCCTCAGCAGAGGGACCATGAGAGTTGCAGCATCTCCGACTTTCACAAAAGATGGTTTTACAAAAATGCTGACAGAGGTTAGGTCAGAGACCCAGACTTAGCTCACAGGGGACCGGCAACAAGGACAGGAATGGATCCCTGGGTCTACAGCTCACCCAGGAGAGGATGCCTGGAGGGAGTGAGGCAACCTGACCAGCTCCTATCAGCGTGGCAAGGGTGGGAGGCACCTGCCCCTTATGCTCCAACTGCCTGGGTCACCTGGTGGCCCTGTGCTGCAGGGTCTTTGCACATTAGAGTCCTGGGGCTGACATAACAAAGTTCCATAAACTGGATGTCTCATATAATAGAAATTTACTGCCTCACAGCTCTGGAGGCGGAAGTCCAAGATCAGCGTGTCGGCAGGGTTGGTTCCTTCTGAGGCTGTCGGGAAGAATCTGTTACCAGCCTCTCTCCTAGGTTCTGGCAGCTTGCTGGTCCCTTTTGGCATTCCTGGCTTATAAACACATCATCACCCAGAATTCTGCCTTCATTTTTACATGGCATTCGCCCTGTGTGTGTTATCTCTGTGTCCAAATTTTTCTTTTCATAAAGTCATTAGTCATATTAGATTAGGGACCACCCTAATGACCTCATCTTAACTTTGTGAAAATTGTCAGAATCCAAATGGGTCACTTGTGTCAAGCCCTGACAAATGGACGTGGGTGGGACATGAAGGCAGGGTTCTCATGCACGTATGCTTGAAGACAAGAACTATCAAAAATACTCTGCAAAAAACACAGCCTTGCATGCACATATGCTTGAAGAGAACTACCAAAAATACTCTGCAAAAGGGCCTGGCGTGGTGGCTCACACCCGTAATCCCAGCACTTTGGGAGGCCGACGTGGGCGGATCACGAGGTCAGGAGATCGAGACCATCCTGGCTAATATGGTGAAACCCCGTATCTACTAAAACTACAAAAAATTAGCCGGGCGTGGTTGCAGGCGCCTGTAGCCCCAGCTACTCAGGAGGCTGAGGCAGGAGAATGGCCTGAACCCAGGAGGCGGAGCTTGCAGTGAGCCAAGATCACGCCACTGCACTCCAGCCTGGGAGGCAGAGCGAGACTCCGTCTCAAAAAAAAAAAAAAAAAAAAATACTCTGCAAAAAACATAGCCTTGCACAAAGGCCATAGCAACCACACAGAGAAAAATCTTCTGCAAGGACATCTGGCCAGCAACTGCCTGTCCACCCTTGTTATTGATCTTTGGAGCCAAGGATAATTGTTTCAAAACAATTAGGTAATCCTCCTCATTTCTCCTCTTAAAACTCTTGTCTTACTTTTCCTCCCTGAAAATGCCCACCATGTACCTATTGCAAAACTTACTCCTGAATAAATATCATTTTCGTTTAGAGATACTCTCTGTCTGCTATTTAGGCTGACAACTGGATCATCTGCAAAGATCCTACTTCCAAAAAAAGGTCACATTCACAGATACCAGAGATCAGGGCACATAAATTTGGGGGGAAGGGACATAATTTAACCCACAACTGTCTGTCAAATGGGGATGGCATGAGCCGGCAGGGCTGTTTGGGATCGTAGGTGTCATTCCATCCTAGTGCTGAGAGCTGGGTGGACACAGGCTGAGTCTCCACGGGCTGGCTCCCCCTCCGACTGGCCCTATCTGCCAGGAGGTGGTGTGACCTGGACTCTGGCCTGCAATTCTAGAGCACCCGCCCTGTGGCTTCGGGAACCCAGGAGCCTCTGGCTGGTTCCAGCCCTGCTTGGCTGGATTTCCTGCATCTCTGAAGCTAGAGGACTCCCTGACACTCTGGTCAGCTCCAATTTTCATGTTCACGACCTTGTGGTTAAGGAGGAAAAAGGAAAGTCCAGCTTCCTCAGCCTCTCAATTCATGTACCATGTTGTTGATGTAATATGAGATGTTGGTTTAGTCCAGTGATTGCATGAGGGCTGAGCGGTCTCACTTTAGGTCCTCACTACTCCCCAGCTGATCCTATGGCCTCCAAGATCCAGGATCACTGGCAAGTGAAGTGGAGCCAAGGTTCATGCCTGAGTGGGAAGGGCTCCAGGCAAGGAGGGAGAGCCCTATGGTGGTTTGAGTCGAGCCCAGCGGAGAACTCCATGGCCTTGAACAAGTGAAGCTTCCTGCTTGCAGGGTCCATGGAGGTGGGCAGGGGCAAGACAAGGATGTTAACTGGGAGGCTTGCACTGTGAAGAATGGGCAGGGCAGCTGCTGAAAAGAGTGGCAGGAGCCAGTTGTAAGTCACACTTCTAATGTTCATCCGTCATGTTCCAGAGAAGGATGGGATACTAGAGAGAGGAACTGACTTTCTGGGGCATGAAGCCAGGTAATGCTAGGGCCCAACCAGAAGCAGCTCTACCATGGAGCCTCATGGCACATGGAGGCCAGCACCCCCTCGTCTTACTCAGTAGCTGGTAAAAGACGTCACCTCCAGGGGGCTTCACTTGTGAACGGCCTCGCCGCCAGGGACATCAACTCCAGTGGGGAGACACCTTCAGGGACCTCAACTCTGATGGGGGGCATCATCTCCAAGGGAACATCATCTCCAAGGGACATCAACTCCAGAAGACATCACCTCCAGGGGGACATCACCTCTGGGGGAATCACCTCCAGGGGGAATCATCTCCAAGGAATATCACTTCCAGGACATCAACTTCAGGGGGAGATTACCACCAGGGACATCAACACTGAGGGGGCATCACCTCCAGGAGGAATCATCACCGAGGAACATCATTTCCAGGGACATCAACTCCAGGGGGAATCATCTCCAAGGAACAGCACTTCCAGTGGACATCACCTCTGGGGGGACATTCCCTCTAAGGAACATCGCCTCCAGGGGGCATCACCTCCAGGTGGAATCATCTCTAAGGAACATCATTTTCAAGGACATCATCTCCAAGGGGACATCATCTCCAAGGGACATCATCGCCAAGGAACATCACCTCTAATGGACATCACCTCCAAGGTGACATCACCTGTAAGGAACATCAACTCCAGGAGGCATCACCTCCATGGGGAATCATCTCTAAGGAACATCACTTGCAGGGACATCAACTCCAGGAGGACATCATCTCCAAGGAACATCACTTCCAGGGACATCAACTCCAGGGTGACATCACCTTCAGGGACATCAACTCTGAGGGGGCATCATCTCCAGGGGGACATCATCTCCATGGGACATCACTTCCATGGACATCAAGTTGAGGGAAGATCATTTCCAGGGACATCAACTCTGGGGGAGCCATCACTTCCAGGGGGCATCAACTCCAACAGGATATCACCTACAAGGAGCATCACCTCCAGGGAATATCAACTCTGAGGGATGGGGGCATCACCTCCAAGAGTCATCACCTTCATGGGTATATCACCTACAAGGAGCATCACCTGCAGGGGATATCAACTCTGAGAGATGGAGGCATCACCTCCAGGAGTCATCACCTCCTGGAACATCACCTCCAGGTCATTAACTTGGGTGGCAGGGAGTCATCACCTCCAGGAGTCATCGCCTCCTGGAACATCACCTCCAGGTCATTAACTTGGGTGGCAGGGAGTCATCACCTCCAGGGGTCTTGCTAGGGTCATCCCACCTAACACAGACCAGATGCTGCAATCCTCTGCAACATTTGGGCAAAATGTTCCTTTTCCTTCAAATGTCAATAACTTTCTTGTATTTTTATTTTTCTTATATTTTGTCTCACAACAAAATTGTACTGTTGTTCTTGACCCTGAACACTGCTCCTTTCGTATCTTTTGAAAGTTCTGTCCTCTCTGTAAGAAATTTATATGCAGAGCTGGGTGGATGGGAAGGAGGATGAAGAGGTTCCTTGGCCTTTCACAGGTGGTTCTGTTTTGTTCCTCCTCTATCTCTCTTCCCCAGACATCCTCTGTATGTCCCAGCGCCTCCTCCCATTGTATCTCCCTGGCACTTTTCTTGTTCTCTGAGTCCTTTCATTTCCCCATCTGTTTCCTCTGCCTTGCAACTCCCCCTCTAATCTCAGTTGACAAGCCTCTTTCAGCGTCAGCAGCAAGAGTGGTGAATGCGCCTTTGTTTGCCTTTCTTGAATCCTAATCGTGGAGACATCTGGACACAGCTAGAGAGAGTAAATGATGGATGCCCTTGTCAGTGCCGATAAGGAGACAAATAAGGAGGGGAGTAATGAACTTAATTCTTTTGTCTCCCCATCAAAACTGGCTTCATGTAAACCTGTATGGCTTGGTATGCCTCAGACTGACCCAAGAAAGGAAAGTCAGGATGAATCCTGTGGAAAGGAAGTGTCTTTCCTTGCCTGTCCCTGCACCCACTGCCTTTGGAGGTGCCTCCTTGCATCGTGTCTTAGGATGTGAATTAATGCTGAGGTTTAGAATACACATTTACATGATGACCCACCTGAAGTGACCACAATCAGAGCAAGTACAGTCTTTGGAAGCATGTACTGTGTGCTGAAGCCCTCCAATGTGGAAGGGCTTAGTTAGGTATGTAGTTAGGTTTTGATGTTGGAGAAGAGATAATGGACACAGAAGTTGTTCCAAAAGGAGAATGAGTGCATTGCTGATGGTGCCGGTGACTTTTTGCCTCCCAACAGTTGTCCCCCAACCCCATTTCTTCTTCCCTCCTAGAGATGGTCAATTGGGTCAGGAGGCAGAAAGAGATCCCATGTACTTAGGGAGAGTACATTGTTCTGCCAATTTCAGTTGATACATTATAATGCTTTTTAACTGATCTTGAAAATCTTAATCCCCTTTATCAGATACTCATTCTTGTACAAGGATTGGGCCTATGACACTGACATCCCTATGCCAAAAAAGATGTAAGCAGAGAACTGCAGGAAGACTTCTGGCAAAGATTTTTTCCTCCTAAAAAAAGGATAGATGTGAGGGGAGAGCTCCCTAGTGCTGCTCTTCTCCCTTTGTTTGGATGTGGAATGGAGACATGATTTCTGGACCAGTGCGATGTAGGCATAAGGCTGAGAATTTTCATAGCAGAAGAAAGAAAGAGACAGTGCCTGATGGCATTACTGAGCTGAAAGAACAATCCTGAGACTACCTAACTTTGGAATTCTTGTCAACATAATGATAAATATCCTGATGATTCGAATCATGTCGGTGGATTTTCTGTTACTTGAGGTTGTAAAGATCCTAACTGATATGTCATTTATGAAATAAATTTCTACACATCAGGTACTACCACTGACACAGAGAGGTACCATCAAAGATCTAGTGGGGAGCCGGAACTCCAGCTGGCAATACTAAGGCAACCTCTCCATTTCCCCTGCAAAAGAAGTATCACAGTAAGTTAGCTAAGACAGAAGATTTAAATCAAAATTTCCTTAGCATAATGCAAAAAAGTATGAATTTCCATTGAAAATCACTTCCCATAGCAAGACCCAGGAAAATCTCAAACTGAACGATAAAAGAAAATCAAAATATGCCAACAGTGAGATGACATAGGTGTAAGAGTTATCTGACAAATATTTTTAAAGTAGCCATTATGAATATATTCAAAAAACAATTACAAGTATGCTTGAAATAAATTAAAAAATTGTTTTGGCAAACAAAATATGAAGTCCCAGCAATAAAATATAAGATTCAAAGGCTGGGTGTGGTGGCTCACACCTGTAATCCCAGCACTTTGAGAGGCCGTGGCGGGTGAATTGCTTGAGCTCAGGAGTTCAAGGCCAGCCTGGACAACATGACGAAACCCCACCTCTACAAAAAATACAAAAATTAGCTGAATATGGTGGCACATGCCTGTAGTTCCAGCTACCTCAGGGGCTGAGGCAGGAGAATCACTTGAATCCGAGAAGTCAAACCTGCAGTGAGCTGAGATTGTGCCACTGCACTCCAGCCTGGGTGACAAAGCAAGACAATGTCTCAAAAAAAAAAAAAAAAAAAAAAAAAAAAAAAGATTCAAAGAATAACCAAATGAAAATTTTAGAGCTTAAAAATATGCAATAACTAAAATGTTACAAAAATAAGTAGATAAGCCCAACAGAAAATTGGAGGAGACAGGAAGGGAAAATAAATGAACTGGAAACAGGAAAATCTGAACAACAGGAAAAAAATGGACTAAAAAAATAGTAGACCCTCAGGGACCTATGAGACTATAACTAAAGATCTAATGTTTGGGTCACTGGAGTCCCCAGAAAGACAGGATGAAGATGGTGGGACTAAAAAAGGTACTTGAAGAAATAGTGCCCCAAACTTTCCTAACTTAGCAAAAGAGGCTGAAATAATGCCAAAAAGAATAAACTCAAAATAATCCAAACAAAGACACATCATAGTCAAACTTATAAACTCAAGACAAAGAAAAAGTGTGGAAGTTTATAGACAGAAAAAAAGTATTGCCTATAGGAGAAAACAATTCAAGTGAATTTATCATCAAAAATCATGGGGACCAAAAAAAAAAAAAAAAAAAAGAATGGCAAAACATTTTTATATACTGAAAGAAAAGAATACTAATCTAGAGTCCTATATTTGGTAAAAGTAACCTTCAGAGATGAAAGGGAAATCAAGACATCACAGAGGAAGAGCAAACAAGAGAATGTATCACCAGCAGATACATTCTAAAAGAATGACTAAACAAAATTTTCTAAACGGAAATGAAAACATAAAAGAAGGAAATTTGGAGATCAGGAATGAAGAAAGAATAGACAAGCGAAATAAAAAACTGGAGTAAATACATCAGACTTTCCTTTTCTTCTTGAGTTTTCTAAATTATGTTTGGCAATTTGAGAAAAAATTCTAATTCTCTGATATGGTTCTAAATGTATACAGACAGAATACTTAAGACAACTACATTATAAGTGAAAGAGGTTAAAGTGATGTAAAGGGTTAGGAGGCTTCTATATTTTACTTGAAACAATGACACCAGTAGATTGTGACATTATGTATATATAATGCAATGCCCAAAGCATCCTTTAAAAAAGCTATATAAAAATGTACACTCAAAAACACTATACATAAATCAAAATTGAATACTAAAAATGTTTAAGTAACCCATGGAAATACAATAAAAAGAAAACATAGAAGCAAATCAGGATAGATAACAAAAATGGAAATCATAGCCTTCACATATCAATTATTTTACATTAAATGTAGATCGTCTCAAAACACCAATTAAAAGGCAGAGCTTGGAAGTTAAAAAGCTATGACCCAACTATAAGCTGACTATAAAAATTTATATTAATATGGAAAAGTTGAAAATAAAATAATAAAAGCCATGTACCATCTAAACATTGGTTAAAGGTAAGCAGGAGTGACTACATAAATATTAAAGTGGACTTTATAGCAAAGAAACTTCAAAAGACAGAGAGACACAGAGGGACCTTAAATAATGATAAAAAGTCAGTTGCTCAAGAAAACAGCAATTCCAAATGTGTATGAGCCAAAAACAAGGCTATAACATACATTAAACAAAAACTGATAGAAATGAAAGAAGAAATAGACTCTCAATTAGAGTTGGGGACTTTAGAACCTCTCTCTCAAGTATTGATAGACAAATGAGACAAAAAGCAAGAGTATGGAAGAACTCAAAACGCCATTAATCAGTAAGATATAATCGACACTTACAGAACACTCCACTCAATCACGACAGAATATACTTTCAAGTGTCCAAGGATCACATAGTAAGAACAGACCATATCCTGTACCATAAAACAAATCTCACCAAAAGTAAGAGAATTGATCATGCAGAATGTGTTCTCCCACCACAGTGGTATCAAACTCAAGATCAGTAATGCAAAGATAACAGGAAATTCTCCAGACAGTTGAAAACTAAACAGCACCCTCAAAAATAGTTCATAGGTCAAAAAGGGAGTCTCAAAGGAAATAAAAAAAAAATCCAAATAAATAAAGCTGAAAATACAACATATCAAAATGTTTGTGACAGAGCTAAAGCCACATGAGAGGGAAATTTATAGCACTGAATGCATACATTAGAAAAGAAGCAAAGTATCCATTTAAAAATCTAATCTCCTCCCTCAGGAACCTATAAAAGAGGAGAGCAAACTAAACTCAAAAAAGGAGAAGAAAGAAAATAACGAAGAACTGAATTCAGTAAAATTGAAATCAGGAAAGCAGTAGAGAAAATCAAAGAGATGTTTGGCAAGATTAAAAATATGACAAACCTCTAGAAAGACTGACCATGATGTACAGAATAATGCCACCCCAATGATACTACATCTTAATTCTCAACACCTGTGACTATACTAGTGTACCTGGAGAAGAGGAATTCAGTTTGCAGATGGAATTAAGGTTGCCAACAGATGACCTTAAATAAAGGAGAGTATCTGGGAATATTCAGGTGGGTCCAATGCAATCACAAGCCTCCTCACAACTGAAAGAGGGAATTGGAAGAAACAACCAGTGAAGCGGCATTGCGAGAAAGACTTAGCCTAAGGTTGCTGGTTTCGAAGATGGGGGAAGGGCAGCAGGATCCAAGCAATGTGGGAGAAGCTGGAAAAGTCGAGGCAACAGATTCCCCCAGAACATATAAAAAGCAGTGCATCCTGCTGACGCCTTGATCTGAGCCCGGTGAGATGCATGTTAAGTTTCTGACTTACATAGCTGTAATATAATAAACGTGTGGGGTTTCTTAAAGTCACTAAGTTTGTGGTCACTTGTCATAGTAGAAAACAAAATATATTCTGCAATTATACATGCAATAGAAAAACGTATATGGAAAATATTATCAGCTGGTAACTTAAATCTACACAGAGGAATAAAAAATGGTGACTATTGGGAAATTAAGAATTTTTTCTTAAATTTTTTTATAATACAATTGACAATTTAAATAATAATAGTAATATACTGTGGGGTTTATGACACAGGTAGAAGTAAAATGAAGGATGATGACAGCACAGAAGATGAGACAGAGAAATGGACACATTTTGTAAGGATCTTACGGTATGCATGGAATTGTATGATACTATCTGAAGGTAGAATGCGACCACTTAAACAGTTTATATAAACCCTACGTCAACTACTAAACAACCAACTAACTCAAATGAAGGCAAAAAAGAGAGGAAAAGGAAAAAAGGATAAAAAACGAATGATATCAAGTACAACAGTCACATAACACAATCCTTTGCAAATAGTATGCCTCAACAAGTTCTTGTTTGCTTTGTTTGTTTGTTTGTTTTTACCAGCTTTATCTATCTCCACGGGTGTTGTGTATCCTAGAGGATACAGTGGGGTTGGTAGGAGAAAGTATTCTAGGTTGTATTTACTGTGAATTAATCCACAGTGACTTCAACCTGTCTCCCTTGCTAATAACTTGGTTTTTTTTTTTTTTTTTTTTTTGAGGCCATGAACATTTTCTTAATAATCTTTATATGCCAGGCAAAGAGAAAAGGCTCAATAAATATTGATTGGATATGAAATAAATATGGGGAGGAGAAAGAGCATTCAAGGGAGAAGAAATACACCTTAGAAATAAATTTTGCTTTGAAAAAATGTATCAAAGATGGTAAGAAAAGAGGAAAATAAAATCCTGTTAGCTTTTAAGTAAAAAGAATTCATGGCCGGGCATGGTGACTCATGCCTGTAATACCAGCACTTTGGGAGGCCAAGGCGTGTGTATCACCTGACGTCAGGAGTTCGAGACCAGCCTTACCAATATGATGAAACCCCGTCTCTACTAAAAACACAAAAATTAGCCAGGCGTGGCGGCATGTGCCTGTAATCCCAGCTATCTGGGAGGCTGAGACTGGAGAATCGCTTGAACCCGGGAGGCAGAGGTTGCAGTGAGCCAAGATCGTGCCATTGCACTCCAGCCTAGGCAACAAGAGCAAAACTCCATCTCAAAAAAAAAAAAAAAAAAAAAAATGCACTCAACAGCAAATGAAAGAAACTGGAGAGAGGTTTTGCAAAGCTCCTCGGACCTGAGCCAGCTCCTTGGTGGCCTAGCTGAGCCTCTATCCTGCTGCCCCTGGGCTGGAGGGCTGCTCTTTTCACACACACTGAGGTAACGGAACCTGGGAGGTGCCCCGAGGGGAGCAGTATGCAGGCCATCTGCGCCAAGCGCAGAGGAGGAGCAGTAGGACTGGAGACCATGTCCTCACTCTGCTCCCGGAGGCTGGCATCCAGGGCGACCAGCGAGTGCTGCAGCTATGGAGGGTAGGGGGAGCTCAGAGGAAGAGGCCTGAAGGGCAGGCCGACTTCAAGAAGATGGAGACCCAGAGCGCTTTGAGGACGTCTCCAGGGTCACCTGGGGAAGAACCAAGACTCCCCTGTGGTCTCCTGCCTCTTAGTCAAGTGATCTTCCCTGGGTCCTCCCATATTCATAAGTTGAAACCCAACCCCAAGGTGATGGTGTCAGGATGGGGTGGCCTCCGGGAGGTGGTGAGGTCAGGGTGGAGCCCTCGTGTTGGGCTGGACCCTGGAGAGCCGCCTTACTCTCTGCCCGCCATGCGGGAGTGCGGTAAAGATGGCACCAGAGCCCAAGTCCCAGAGCCCGTCTAAGCTGCCACCCTGATCCTGGACTTCCAGCCTCCAGGCTGATTAATGAATGCCTGGTGTTTTCAGCTCCTCTGAGTTCCATTCTCATGGCGGCCGGGGCTGACCGGGACCTCCAGCCCCGGCACACAGCCTTACCTGGGACGCCTGTCATTCCACTGGAGAATCCTGGACACGCAGCCTCGCCCGGGACACCTGTCACTCCACTGGAGAATCCTGGACACGCAGCCTTGCCCGGGACACCTGTCACTCCGATGGAGAATCCTGGAGTCGCATCTTTCTCTCATATCTCTGATCCAATCCGCCCAGAGATCCTGATGCCTCACCTTCAAATCCACCCTGAATCCCGCCGCCTCACCCTCGCTGCGCTTACATGAGGCTCACCTGGAGGGATGATTCGGCCCAGCCAACCTCTGCTTCCCGCTCATCGCACCCAGGGCGCAGCCCTGAGCCCCAGAAGCGGCCTCGCCCTCAACCACGCAGGCCCCGGGCCCGGCTCCCACAGAACCCCGCTCAGCTCTCACGGGGGCCACCCCGAGGTCTTGAACTAAGCAGAGCCTCTCCCTTCCCCCTCCCTCCCCATCCCTCAGCTCAGCCCCCAGCAAACTCACCCTCAGCACCTGCTCACCTGGGGCTGCTCCCCGTCACCGTCTCCGCGCACTCCGCCCCTCACCACGGATCCCGAGCGCCGGGAAGACGGCCGGGCGCCCAGGAGCGCTCGGGGCCCGCCTGCTGCCCACGCACGGTCCAGCACCCGGCTCGGAGGGCACCTCCCGGAGCTTCAGCTGGACTCGGGCAGGGAGGGAGAAACTCGCCATCCTCAATCCATCCCTCCCTCCTTCCTCTGTCTCTCTGCTCGTGTGATCACTGCCAGCGCCCCGTGAGCCTCAGTGGCAACAGGGACATTTCCTGTTTAAAATAAAAGTAAAGGTTTGAAGCCCACTCTCCTTAGTTGTGTGGATCCAGAACACGGGGGAGCCCTTGCACCCCTGACACACAAACATCACACACACCACACACATCACACCCCACACAGATACACACACGCCACACACAGATACACACCACACACATCACACAGATACACACCACACACATCACACACACACCACACACATCACACAGATACATACCACACACGTCACACACCACACACGTCACACATACCACACACATCACACAGATACTCACCACACACATCACACACACACCACACACATCACAGATACATACCACACACATCACACACCACACACGTCACACATACCACACACATCACACAGATACACACCACACACATCACACACACACCACACACATCACAGATACCACACACATCACACACCACACACGTCACACATACCACACATATCACACACCACACATGTCACACATTACACATACACACCACACATCACACAGATACACCACACACAACACAGATGCACACAACACACATCACACCTACATACAACATACACACATACACCTACATACATTACACACACCACACACATCACACAGATACACAGCAAACACATCACACCTACACACCACACACATCACACACAGATACCACACACATCACGCCTACACACCACATACACACACATCACAGATACACAACACACACATCACACCTACACACCACATACACACACACCACATAGATACACACAGATACACACCACATGCATCAGGCCTACACACCACACACCACATACACACAGATACACACCACATGCATCAGGCCTACACAACACACACACATCACACCTACCACACACATCACACACACCACACAGATACACACCACACATACACACATGACACACCTACATACATCACACACATCACACAGATACACACCTACCACACACATCACACATACCACATAGACACACACCTACATATATCATATGCACCACACATATACACACATCACACATACTCACCAGATACACACATCACACATACCCACCACATGACACATACACTTACATACATCACACACATCACACATACACAACCAACACACACACCACACATACACACCACATACATATATACATACACATCCTACATACATCATACGCACCACACATAAGCACACCCACCACACACATCACACATACACACAACATACACCTACATACGTCACACACATCACACAGATACACACCCACCACACACATCACACACACACCACATACACACATCACACATACACACCACATACACAAATACACCTACATACATCACACACATCACATAGATACCCACCACACACATCACACATACCACATGCACACACACCTACATACATACGCACCACACATATACACAGACATTACACACCCACCACACACCACACATACACACCCACCACACACATCACACATACACACGACACATACACCTACATACATTATACACATCACACAGATACACACCCACCACACACATCACACACATCCACCACACACATCACACATACACAACCAACACACACGCCACTCATACATACTACATACCCATCACTTACACACACCACACAAACCACATACACACACTCCTACATACATCATATGCACCACACATATACACACCCACCACACACATTGCACATACTCACATATACATCAGACACAAAACACAGATACACACCCACCACACACATCACACATACACACCACATACACACGCACGTACATACACCATACGCACCACACATATACACACACCACACACCCACCACACACATCACACATACCACATACACACATGCACTCACATACATCATATGCACCACACGTATACACACACATCACACATATACATACATCACGCATACACACCACATACACACATACACCTACATATATCATACACACCACACATGTGCACACACACCACGTACATCACATATACCACATACACCACATAAACACACATCACACATACCACATACACCACATACACACACATCACACATACACACCACCCCTACACACCACAAGCACAGCACACTACACACACCACACATATACACACCACATACAGTATACACACCATCACATACACACCCACCACACATATCACACATACACACCACATATACACATCACACATACCACATACATACACCTACATATATCCTATGCACCACACATATACACACACATCACTTACCCACTGTACACATCACACATACACAAACATCACACAAACACACCACCCATACACACCACACACAAACACACCACCCATACACACCACATATACACCTACATACATCATACACACCACACATAGACATCACATATACACACAGCACACTACACATACACACCACATATATACACAACATATACATCATACACACCATGCACACACAAACACCACACATGCACACAAACACCACACATACCACACACACTTAATACATCATACACACCACACAGATGCACACACACCACATACATCACATATACCACATACATCACACATATCACATACAACTACATACATCATACATACACCACATATATATGCACACACATACACACCACACATATACACACCACATACATTATAAACACCACACACACCACACATACCACACACAAACCTGCATACATCATACACACCACACAGACGCACATACCACATACATCACATATACCACACACATCACACATACACCACACACATCACACACCTACATACATCATAGACACCACATACACACACACTACATACATCACACACACACCACACACATCACACGAACACACCAGTACACACATCACACACACCACACACACACACCTCCACACACACCAGACACATCACACACATCTACATGCATACATGACACACCACACACATTGCACATACACACTTGCACACACCACATCCACACATACACTTACACACCCACAACACACATCACACACACACCAGACATATTACATGCATACACACACCACACACATGCACACATGACACACACCATGCACATTGCATGTACACACCTACATACACCACATACATACACACCAGCCATACACACACACACGCACCATACACATTCATATACACCACACACATACATAACCTACACACTACACACATCACACACACCTACACACATTCACACATAATACATACACATACATACCACACACATGCATTACACATACCTACACACCACACACAAGCACAACACACCACACGCATATGTACACATACATATACCTACACACACCACACAAATCACACACACCACACGTATACCTACACATGCACACACATGAACCTACATGTTCACTGCACACATGCATACACATACCATATGCACAAATACACACACCACACACTTAGATGCTGACCAAACACACACATCTCTACATACCACATCATACACACATCCCTCCTCACACACACCACAGACACACACACACACCCACACTCGCAGGCACACACATGTGCACACACAGGCCCCTGCTGCTCCAAAGCTGCTCTCCAGGACCTCAGGGCTCCCTGGAAGGCCCTCGTCCTCAATTTATGCCCTCCAGTCTGGGCCGTGTTCTGTCCTGGGGACTTAAGCTGGCCCCAAACTCAGGCCACTCGTACCAGCCCCAGACCCAAGCGGTTGCTCTGATCAGGGGCCCCCGCCTCCATAGCAGTGGGGTGCAGGCATCCTCCACCTTCACCCCCTCAACCCCCAACACAGGTTGTCCATCGCCAGGGGCGTCTGAGGCTCTGGCCTTTCCTGGGTACCCCAGATGTGCAGAGTCCACCTCAGGCCTGTCCAGCCCCTCCCTGTCTCTGACACCTGGACCTCCACTGTGCTGCGGGAAACCACCGGTCCATGGGGCCTCAGGACCTAGGAGGGTCACGGAGCCCGTGATGCTTGGGGTCACCCTGGTCCTGGGAGTGTGCTGCCGGGTGTTGGCCATGCTGCCAAGGGACCTGAGGGCACCGGGGATGGCATCGTTAATGGCGATTGTTGGTCTGTTTGCTGGCGAGATCTGACTAGGTTCACACAGAGGCAAACAGGCCACGGAGTGTCCGCCTTTCTGGAGGAAAGACGACATGCCTCTGAGCAGCCCAGGCTCACTGAAAACACACTTGCAGGATATGCATCACCTTCAGGGCAGCACGCAGCCTCACCCGGGACACCTGTCACTTCGACGGAGAATCCTGGACATGCAGCCTCACCCGGGACACCTGTCACTCCGATGGAGAATCCTGGACACGCAGCCTCACCTGGGACACCTGTCACTCCGACGGAGAATCCTGGACAGGCAGCCTCACCCGGGACACCTGTCATTCCGAAGGAGAATCCTGGACATGCAGCCTCACCTGGGACACCTGTCACTCCGATGGAGAATCCTGGACACGCAGCCTCACCTGGGACACCTGTCACTCCGATGGAGAATCCTGGACACGCAGCCTCACCTGGGACACCTGTCACTCCGAAGGAGAATCCTGGACATGCAGCCTTACCTGGGACACCTGTCACTCTGATGGAGAATCCTGGACAGGCAGCCTTACCCGGGACACCTGTCACTCCGACGGAGAATCCTGGACACGCAGCCTTACCTCGGACACCTGTCACTCTGATGGAGAATCCTGAACGCATAGGCTTACCTGGGACACCAGTCACTCCGATAGAGCATCCTGGAGTCAGCATCCTTCTCTCACATCTCTGATCCAATCCACCCAGAGATCCTGATGCCCTACCTTCAAATACACCCAGAATCCCGCCATCTCACCCTTGCTGTGCTTACCTGAGGCTCGCCTGGAGGGACAACTCGGCCCAGCCAGGCCCTGCTCCCTAGCTCATCACACCCAGGTTAGAGAAGCCAGCATCAAACTATGAAAACTGGAGGCTTTCATCCAGGAGCCAGAAAGGTCCAGCTTGCCCCTCGGGCACAAAATGGATGCCTTCCACAAAGGAAAACGAGAAGACAATTCTCAACATTTAGGGCAACCCGCACTGATGGCTGACATTTCCAGAAAGATCCAATGTGGCCAGACCCATGAGAATCAAGTAGCTGACACCATAGCATCCTTGAAGATCGGTCACAAGAATGAGGAACAGTTTCAGGCAGCTCTGCCCGTCGCTTTAGGAGAAAATCCCCCTCTTCAGGGAAGCCTGAAGCTGCTTCCCTGGGGGGGCTGAAGGAGCGGAGGGGAGAGGGAGTAAATGTGCTGTGTGGTGGAGAGAACACTGGAACCTCTAAAGCGGACAGAGCAAGCCCTGGGTGCACACCGAGGGAAGACGAGAGACAGAGGGGACCTCGTGGGCTGGGGACGGGAGCTCAGGATGGCACGGAACAAATTCATGGGAACAGAGACCACGTGGAAGATAAATCAAAAGGAGTTCCGAAGACACAGTTGGTGCAGCTGAGCTAAATACTGATTTGAAACTCTCGAGGAAGAAAGAATTAACCGTAGAAAATAAAATCGACGTCCTTAGAAGATCACATGAGAAATCCCCATGCTTCTGACTGCTTTGCCACACTCAGAAAATCACTGTCAGAAGGGAGAGGCTCAGCTCCCGGGAAGACTCATGTCCCCATCCCCCCATCCCCCCATCCCCCTCCCCATCCCCGACCTGCACCAAGGAAAACCCATCCCCCCATCCCCCCATCTCCCTCCCCGACCCCCAACCTGCACCAAGGAAAAGAGTGTTTGGCAGATACTGATGGAGAGCGTCTGCCCTGTGAGGACAGAGGGGACTCTCCAGGGCACATGGCAAGATCACCGCACTGGGAAAAGCTGGATGCATAACATGCCATCCAAATCCTCCAGAAACCCTAGAGAGAATCCCTGGCCATCATGGAAGGCAGATTACTTTCCCTGCGAGAAAAGCTCATGCGAATGAGTTGAGAGCACTTTTGGCTGAGACACACCTGCACAGCCTAAGAAAGAGAATGCGCTCTGAAATACATTATGGAGGAAGGATCGAGGGGCTCCTGAGGCATCCTCACATCCCTGATGCTGCTGTGGGGCTTTCAGCAGAGAACCATGGGGAAGATAGGACCCAGAGGAGCAGGAGCACCAGGCCCCAGTGGGTGGGGGGTCAGGGCCCAGGGCTCAAGGTGTAGCCCCTCACAGGATCAGGCCCAAGAACAAGAGCCTCCACCAGAACCCCCCCAGCCCTACTCAGAGCCTGCACCAGATGGCAAGCCTCAGCTCCCATGCCCCTCAGCTAGGCTGCCCTGACCCAACCCTCCCACAGGACCGGGGTGTCTCTGGGCTGCCCTGATCCAACGCCTCCCATGGGATTGGGGGTTGCCCTGGGCTGCTCTGATCCAACTGTCCTGCAGGAAAGGGGTGCCACTGACCCAGCTCCATCCTCTCTTGTCAGATATCAGAGCGTCCTGAGAGTCCCCGGGGGGCAGCTCTTGGGAAGAAGACTCTATCCTTCCCCCGATTCCAGAAGACAGGGAAGACACCCACCACGAGTATCTCCCCGAAAGGATGTCCTTGGCCCAGAACCTCCTCCACTGGGGAGCAGAGAAATGTGTCTCAGCAGAGGTGAGTCACCTTCCAGTGACCCCACTTCCAGCGTGCCCACTTCTAAGATCCAGAACTATGGCAAGACGCGTTGCTCTCTGTAAAGTAATTCTTATTTTTCCTCTTGTGTTTTTTTTTTCTTTTTTTTTTTTTTGAGATAGGGTCTTGCTCTCCTTCCCAGGTTGGAGCACAGTGGCACAATCATGGCTCACTGCAGCCTTTGACTTCCTGAGCTCAAGCAATCCTCCCACCTCTGCCTCCTGAGTAGCTGGGACGACAGGTGTGCAACACTACACACAGCTAATTTTTAAAAATGTTTTTGGAAAGATGAGGTCTGGCTGTGTTGCCCAGGCTGGTCTCTAACTCCTGGGTTCAAGGGATCCTCTCATCTCAGCCTCCCAAAGTGCTGGGATTATAGGAGGGAGCCACTGCCACACCCAGCCTGTTTTTGTTTGTTTGTTTGTTGTTTTTGAGACGGAGTCTCGCTCTGTCGCCCAGGCTGGAGTGCAGTGGCCCGATCTCGGCTCACTGCAAGCTCCGCCTCCCGGGTTCACGCCATTCTCCTGCCTCAGTCTCCGGAGCAGCTGGGACTACAGGCGCCTGCCACCATGCCCAGCTGATTTTTTTGTATTTTTTTTTAGTAGAGACGGGGTCTCACGGTGTTAGCCAGGATGGTCTCGATCTCCTGACCTTGTGATCCGCCCGCCTCAGCCTCCCAAAGTGCTGGGATTATAGGCGTGAGCCACCGCCCCCGGCTGTTTTTTTTTTCTTTTTTAATTTTATTGCTATTAAGTGACTATTCAATGGCTAAAGTGGAAACTGCTCATATTCTAATTCCGAGATAATGTTCTATAACTTCAGAGTATTTAAATAACTTATGTGAGTTACTTACATTTTATCCTATTTATAACTAGCGTAATTATGGTATCTTTATTATTGCTAATAAACTCACTAAAATAACCCAGTAACATAGCCAGAATTTTGACTTCTAAATTTGATTTTTTTGTCTTTTAGTTCTATTCCTATTATGTAAGTGATTACACAATATCTCAAATGGAGACTTAATAAGATTATGATTTTTAGGACAGTGTTTTATAAATGTATATTATATCATATGTGAATCTTATTACTAAATTGTCACATCTTATTTGATTTCCAGACAGTGCAAGTAGAATATTTTTGTCACTGTGATTTAAAGAGTGTCTCCTATTGATCCAGAAACCCAATTTCCATCTCTCTTAAGAGCTAATATTGAATTTTCTCTCATTTGATTTCACTGCTGTAGTTAAGTGATTACACAATTGCTCGAATTGAAGCTGGAGAGAATTCCAGTTTTTAGCACAGTGAGTTATAAATGAAGCTCATTTGGAAGATTTCCTGGGTGTGCTGTTTCCTTCTGTTCTGGACAGCACAGGGAAAGGATGGTGGGACCACAGCAGGTGCCGTGTGTGTGGGTGGCTTTGGGTGTGGCCGGCTGTCTAGGTCGGCAGCAGGAACTTCAGAGAGGGTTTTCGATGCGCTGTCTGGAACCTGGAGAGATGTAAAAGCGAGGTTTCTTCTGTGGCCATGAGACAGGTTCACTCTAGTTATGAGACTAATATGTTCAACTCACTTCATTTTCATTACGAAAGAGTTTGGGAAACAGTGTCAGAACAAAGCACCCGTCCCCTCTGTTGCATCAGGTATGTGAGGGTGCCCCTCTCTCTGCCTCGTCTCCCCTGGTAACCTTGCAGCCACAGCGAACTTTTAAAACCATGAACGACAGCATGCGACCTCGCTGCTCACAGAGCCCCCAGGGCCTCCAACCACCCTGAGCCTCAGGTCTCTGCTCCCTCCTGCTGACCCACCTGCCTCTGCCTGGGCCCTCCCGTCTGGCCACAGAACTTCCTTCTGTCCCATCACCATCTTGGTCTCACTCCTGACTCTTCGCATTGCTCCTCCCTCTGCCCGGAAGGCTTTTCCCACAGCCGTGTGCAGCTGCCTCCTCCCCGCCATTTGGATTCGGACTCGGGTCCCCTGTCAGTGGCCTCTCCTGGCCACTGCAGCTGCATGGTGTGCTCCCTGCCTGCCTCCCCGCCCCACTGCCCTCCTTCCTGCTTCACGGCACTCAGTTCTAGAGTCATTTTATTTCCTATGCGCTCCTGTGTTTTGTCTGCATGACCCTCTGCAACGCAAGGTCTCAGGCGCAGAGGTTTCTCTCTTCCCTACTGACCCCTCTCTTGCCTAGCACGTGACAGTCGCTCATCAAGGATTTGGGGAATGAGGGAATGAACAGGGGAACCAGGGGAAGGCCCCTGAGCTCTCAGACCTGCCCACGCCCGAGTGCGGCTCTCCAGGCCTCCTGTGCAGCCCCTCACCCTGTGATCCATGGAGCCCACCTTGGGCCCACTTGCTCCCCTTGCCGGCATGTTCCCTGAGGACCACGACTGTCCTAGCTTCCACGCCAGCCTCTTGTCTGGGTTCTGTCTATGGCAGTGAGTCTCAAGTCTCCCGTTGATGGAGGTCATTAACACTGCTGGAGAAGCCAAGGTTGTAGCAAGAGGCGGGGGATGCAGGAAGAGAACTGGCTGCTGCCCACGGTGGGAAGCAGCAAGGATTGGAGGCTGTTGTGTTGAAGGAAATGCTGCTGGACCTCGTGGACCTGGGTCACTTCAGTGGCCTGGATGATCCCCAGTGGAGGCAGGAATGTACAAACCCATCCCCAGGTGTGGTCACTGGTTTTTGTGGGGTCTGCAACCCACAAAACAGAGTTCCACATAAATGCCACACCATCTCTGGTCCATCCCAGTGAATCCTCTACGGCTGCCCTCCAGGGCAGGCTTACATTTAGAGATGGGGAAACTGAAGCCCAAAGTCCCACCCTAGAGAGGGTGGTTGACAGCCCAGGACCGAATCTCAGGTCTGATGCTTCCCAGCTGTGTGCCTCTGATATTTAGCCCTTCATCCCCTGACACCCTTGTCCAGAGCACAGATGAGGGTTGTTGCACAGATTATATGAAACGAAGTCATGGTAAGCCCATGGGGTGCCTTTTTAACTCACCACCCACTAAGTTAATGACATTGATTCTAGGACCTCTGCCCCCAAATCCCACTCACTTTCCCATCTCTGAAAACTGTTCTGCCTGGGTTTGATCTGCTGACTGCTTCACACTGCTCAGAGTGCAAGGACTCTTCATGGAGTGAAAGGGTAAGCATCTCTCGCTGAGAAGGGCTGTCCCCAGTGGGCACAGCCAGGGCCAGGTGTGTGCAGGTCTGAGGCACGCCATCGTCCCATTCAAGAGACAGAGCAGCCAGGCGCGGTGGCTCACGCCTGTAATCCCAGCACTCTGGGAGGCCAAGGCAGGCAGATCACCTGAGGTCAGGAGTTCGAGACCAGCCTGGCCAACATGGGGAAACCCCGTCTCTACTAAAAATACAAAAATTAGCCAAGCGTGATGGTGGGCGCCTGTAATCCCAGTTACTCGGGAGGCTGATGCAGGAGAATCACTTGAACCCAGGAAGTGGAGGTTGCAGTGAGCCGAGATCATGCCACTGCACTCCAGCTTGGGCAACAGAGCGAGACTTCAGCTCAAAAAAAAAAAAAGAAAGAAAAGAAAAGAAAAAAGAGAGAGAGACAGATCAGGACATAGGTCGGTGCAGGGCTGAGGAGGGGCTGGGCAGCAACGCCTGGAGTGTGGATGACAGGGCAGCCCTGCGGAGGAGGCAGGGAAGGGTGGGGAGGCTTTGGGCTAACTATAAGCAGAGAGTGTGACCCCTTGTCAATCCTAGGAGGAGGATTCTTCCTGGAGTTGGAAAAGCATTTTGGAGATCTTGGAGCTCACCTGTAAGAATAAATGTGAGAGGAAAACCGAAGTGTTGTTGGAAATAAAAGCCCCTGGGGACACCTCTGCTGTGATAGCAACTGGGACTCCGGAGGGCTCCCCAAGCCAGTCCCGGTCTGCGCCCCCGTGCAAGGAACTCATCTTACCATCTGGGACCGCCGTTATCAGAGCCGGAGCCACTTCTCACAATCAGCGCAGGCAACTTCCTGCCTCACTCCTGGTCACAGGTGAGGAACGGAGCTTTGCCGAGAACACGGGTTTGTTGATTTGACCTTATAACCCTTAGAGGAGCAAAAACTGAATTTCCAGGCATCGTGGTCAGGTTTCAAAACATGAAGCCTGGTATGAGTCTACCTCTTTCAAAACATATGTCAATATTTCTGCTGTGGCTGAGATGGGATAACAGGAACCTGAGTTACCCGTCTGTCTGAATCAACAACAAAAAAATAGACACAATATAGGCAAGAACACTTTTCAGGACTCTGGATATGAGGAAATTAAGGACGTTATGCTTGAGAAATAGAAAACAAAGATGAGCTGAGCCCCGTCACGGGCCTGCTTACTGCCTGGAGAGGGCCCAGCCTGCAGGACTCCCTGGGTTGAGAAGGCAGAGTCTAACATCTGAGGAGGGGGCTGTATTATGACAGAGGAGAGAGCTGCACAGAGTTCAATGCCAGGTTCCATGAAGGGACCCACTCGAGGGTTCGGTAGTGCAGAGATCAGAGCATGTGTGAACAAACCAATATTTATAGGAATGCAAAAATACCTAGCACCCAACAAGGTAAGATTCATTATGTCTGGATCCAATTAAAAATGCCCAGTCCTGTCAGGAAGAAGGAAAATGTGATCTCTCATGATGAGAAAAGTCAATGGAACCTGACCTTAGTGGGCACGAATCGTGGGGTTGGGATTCAAGGACACTGAGGTAGTTGTACGACGTTGCTCTATTGACAGATTCAAACTCTGTAAGTTGTGAAAAGATTTTTTTCTGAGCTAAATATGAGTGACCAATGGCTGGTGACATGGCACCTGGAGAGCCTGAGAACATGCACCCAAGGTGGTCGGGTCTCAGCTCAGTTTTATACATTTTAGGGAGACATAAGACATCAATTAACACATGTAAGATGTACACTGATTTGGTCTGGAAAGGAGGGATAACTGGAAACAGGGGCAGATTCAAAGATTTTCTGATTGGCAATTGGTTGAGAGTCACTAGCTAAAGACCTGGAATCAATCAAAAGGAATGTCTGGGTTAGGATAAGGGGTTGTGGAGACCAAGGTTGTGTCATGCAGATGAAGCCTCCAGGTAGCAGGCTTCAGAGCTCTTAGCAGACCTAAAACGGTGCCAGCCTGTTGGTTTTCTCCCCGATCAGGGAAAAGACCTAGAAAAGAATGAGGATTCTCTACAGAATGTAGACTTTCCCCACGAGAGACAGCTTTGCAGGGCCGTTTCAAAATATGTCAAAGAAATATATTTTGGGGTAAAATACTTCCATTTCTTCCAGGGCCTGCAATCTGTCAAGTGATGCTATACTAGAGTCGGGCTGGAATTTGGTATCTTACTGCTACAGCGTCTGTTTCGTCTTCAGATCTGAAATCTGAAGGTCTCTGTTTTAATGTTAATGCTGGTCAGCTGTGCCTGAATTAAAACGGGAGGAGGGTAGAAGGAGGCATGCCTGACCCCCACCTTCCCACCACAGCCTGAACTAATTTTTCAGGTTAACTTGGGAATTCCACTGGCCAAGGGGAGGGAGGGTCCATTCGTCAGGTGGGGGGCTTAGAATTTTATATTTTGTTTACAGCTCCATATGTCCAAGGGGTGAGGGGAAAGATGGTTCCATTAAATAGAGCATTAAAGACACCAAAAAGGCCCAAAATCAAAATTCTAGAGATGAAAACTGCAATGTCTGATATGAAAAGTACACAGAACGGGATCCACAGAAGATTTAAGGTTGCAGGTGAAAAGATTACTGCACCTAAAGGCAGCAATAGAAACCATCCACAATGAAACACAAAGATTTTTAAGACTAACAAATAAAGAAAGGCGTGCATGCTGTGTGACTGCACTGATACACAATTCTTGGATGTGCGACCTAATGGATAGTGACAGAAAGATGGACAGGGTGGGAGAAAGAGACTTCAGAGCAGTGTGAGGAGACTTCCTGGGGTGGTGGACATGGTCGTCATCCTGTGCAGTGAAGGCTGCGTGGGTGTAAACACACAGCACATTTACCAAACTGTACAATGCTAAAACATGCAGTTTATTCATGTCAATTGTAGCTCCATAATTCTGTGATACGTAGTGGGGGAGAGAAAATTAAACATACGACATATTTGGAGGACTATTCAGCAAAATATTAACAATAGTCATGTCTAGATGGTTCATTACTAGTGGTTTTCACTTTCTTTCTTTTTTTTTCCTGTCTGATTTTTCTAATTTGGGTGCCATAGATTTGCATTGCTTTTTGTAACAGTTACCCATTACCGAGTGATAAATGGTCACATGCTTAGCATCTTAATCAACACTCATTAGCTCACAGTGTTATGGGTCAGAAATTCTGCACCACATGGCTGGGCTCTCTGCTTAGGGTCTCACAAGGCCAAAATCAAGATGTGGCAGGGCTGCCTTCTGTGAGGAGGTTTGGGGCAGAATCCCTGTCCGTCTCATTAGGGATGTTGGTCATTTGTTGCCTTGCGTCTGTTTGACTGAGGTCCCGTTTCTTGCTTGCTGTCAGCTGGGGCTGCTTCTGATCTGTGGAGGCTGCCTGCAGCTTCTCGGCTCATTGTCTCCTTAGCCAGGTGTTAAAGCAAACTAAATATGGCCTGTGATGGACTCCGTACTTCTATATTTGAGTCCTTGTGAATGAACTGTAACCTGGCTTAAAAGTCAGACAAAAGGCTGGATGCAGTGGCTCAGGCCTGTAATCCCAGCACTTTGGGAGGCCGAGATGGGCAGATCACGAGGTCAAAAGATGGAGAGCATCCTGCCTAACATGGTGAAACCCCATCTCTACTAAAAAATACAAAAATTAGCCGGGCGTGGTGGCAGGTGCCTGTAGTCCCAGCTACTCGGGAGGCTGAGGCAGGAGAATGGCGTGAACCTGGGAGGCAAAGGTTGCCGTGAGCCAAGATCGTGCCACTGCACTGCACTCCAGCCTGGGCGACAGAGCAAGACTCCGTCTCAAAAAAAAAAAAAAAAAAAAAAAAAAAGTCAGACAAGATTGAAAACTTAATTTAGGAGTATGTGCCTGCCTGAAACAATAGCTGAGTCTTGGCCAATCCCAGTGGCCACACTTCATAGACTGCTGAGTGTTCAAACTGTGTTCAAATAATGCAAACAACGAGCTACAACCAGTCCAGCCGTTCTGCACCTCACTACAAATTTCTGTACGTCATTTCCCTTTTTTTATCTATAAATCTTCCACCATGTGGCTGCGCGGGAGTCTGTGAATCTGCTGTGATTCTGGGGGCTGCCCGATCCGCAAATTGTTCATTGCTCAATTAAACTCTTTTAAATTTAATTTGGCTGAAGTTTTTCTTTTATTACAGGCCACAGCGCAGCTTCCTCCAGGCTGCAGGAGCACAGGTCTCTGACCCTGAGTCCCTCCTTTCCCCTGTCTCTCACCCCTCAAATCAGATGTGAAGGGCTCAGGCGATTTCAATCAGCACCCAAATAGTTGCCCTCTTGGTGAACTCGAAGCCAGCTGATTAGTGACTTTAATTACATTTGTGAAAAATCTTCACTGCCATGTCATGTATCACACAGGGTCTGCCACATCCCAGGGGAGGAAATAATCCAAGGCAGGTACAACAGGGGGTGGAAATCCTTGGGCCACTTTAGAATTCTGCGTACCATAAATGTGTAAAAAGATGAAACTTTCTACAAGAGAAAGGAAGGTCACTCTGAGCTGCATTTTTGTTCAGGAACAGAGAACTCATTGAAACCCACAGGCAGAGCTTGTGCAAAGGGAGAGAGCAGAGAGAACGGCCAATCAGTGGAAAGTTACTCTTCCTGCTTGGAGGAGATATTTTCCTCTATTTTAAAGGCAGCTGTGATGTGATAAACACAAGAGAAGAGCAGCCCCACCCCCCCACCCCATGCACTGATTTCCAGGAGTGGGGCCATGAGCTGGGGGCCCCTGCTGCTCCTGCACCCCTCACCTGTGGTCCCCTGGGGGTTAGGTGACCTGCTGGGTCAGACACCAGCTCTCAGGGAGCCGCAACTCCTGGCATAGGTGCAATGTCTTGGAGTGACAGCAGATTTTTTCAGGCCTAGCTCTGAACTCTCCAAACACAAATCCTCCTAGAAGTCAGCACCCCTCAGTGCCTCACCCTGGAGCTTTGCCACATCACCATTTATTAAGAGAGGGATGCATCTGCCCTGCACACCCTGATGGGACAATTTCCACCCCACCAGCAAGGGGACATCAGTGTGTCCCCCCAGGGCCCTACTGGAGCACCCACCAAGAGGCCCCAAGTGCCCCTGGGGAGAGGGACCTTCAGGAACTCGTCACCTCTCACTGTGCCCCTCTGCTACTCACCGGTCACTCCCCAGAGCCCATCACAGTGACCCAGCACTCCTGAAATGTGAGTTCAATGCTTCAAACTTTCTGCAATACTGACTCTTCAGGCGGATGGTTCATGGTCCCTGAATTCATGATCAGTTATTAAAAATAATAAAATACTTCATCTGTAGGGTGCTTGTGGCTCCCAAAGTGTTTCCTAAGGGTGTACTACCCGAAATCAAAACAAGAAGGGCCCAAATCGTGGGCTCTAATGCTTCCCCAGTGCCCACCCCCCAGCATTCCAACCAGACACAGAAGCCACCAGAAGCATGATCTTAACAAGCAGCATGCCAGCAGGGTTCCCCTAGCTCACAGAGCCCTGCAACCCCAGAACCTGCTTGGAGACCCAGAGGGCAGCCCAGACGCCACCTCCAGCTTTCCCACCTCCATCTGGGCCGCCCTCCCAGCAATCTCGAGTCCTGGGGATCAGGGACCATCTTATTCCTCTTTGCAGGCCCAGGACCTGCCTGTGCCCAGCACAGTACATCTTTGTGGGATAAATGACAGGAGTAATGCATTCACTCTCAAAGCCTGAAGATTATCGAAACAGCCAGGGTCGGGAAGAGAAAAAGGTGAGCACGCAACGCATGGAGGGAGGGAAGCCAGGGCTGAGGGACACCTGGCGTGGACCCTGGGGAACCCGGCCTCCCTCCTGCCCACTGCCCTGCCCCACCAGGGCCTTGCACTTGAGGGTCCGGGGTCTCTCAAGCCCTGTGACCCTGTGCGGGAGCACTCTGTTCCTGTCTTCAATCTTTTTGTGTTTTTAATGCATATCTCTCTCATTCAGTCTCTTGTTTTCTTTTCCCCTAAACCCAGTGGTACAAAAACCAAGGGGGGTGAGATTGTATCTCTGTTTGTTTTGATGGATTGAACATTTTCTTTCCTTGTTCTACATTTTTCAGATTTCTGGGGATTGTTTTCCACCTCTTGATGTTATCTGGGCTCTGGCCAACAGCAACACACACTCTGCCGGTGCCTGAGGGCGGAGTGCGGAAGCAGGGGGCTCAACTTTTGGCTAAATTTAGCTTCTCTTGGGCAGATTTATCTCCATTAATCATAACCAAGCGGAGTTGCTGGAAACTGTGCTTCCCTCGATCCAGCCGCCTGCGTGAATAAGTACTTCCATCCCAGAGAGGATTTCCTGGAGCGAATGCCAATAGTCTCCCTAAACAGCCAGGCAAGCCACAGCAAACAAACAAAAACAACCAAAAACAAAAGGAGCAGCAGCAGCTGGCACAGAGGCGGGTGCTCAGCCTTGTTTTATCCGCAGGTCCCGCACCAAGCAAGTGGAGAAACACACGAGGCTCCCTCAGGCTGGATCCCTGTGTCCCAAGACAGCCAGAGAAGGGGACGGGGACACTGCCCAGCTGTGGGCACCTGCACTTGGAGGTCACCCCACCACCGCCTGGGAAAGCCTCGAAGCCTCATAGCACAGGGGTGGCCAGAGTACTCCCTGAACTGCGAGTCTGGTTAGTTCTTGGTGGTGGGCACAGGTGAGTGACATCTACCTTCCGCACTTGTCTCTGTGTGTGAGATACTTGGTTATTGGAAAAAAATGAAATCTGTGAGTCTTTGGATCCCTGTTTGGCCCAGGAACAGGCCACCCTCTTCTTTACTGAGTCAATGCTAAAGTCACTGTTGACCCAAAGCATAGGGATGAGCGGGAGACGTTTCAGACTCCAACAGGTGCTCCATCTGGTGGCGACTTCAGGAACATCTTCCAAGTCAAGGTGGCAGGTGTGCACCTGTGGGCTCCTTCTTGAAGGCCCGTCCTGCAGGCACCCATCCAGGAAGGAAGGCTGAGGAACTGCAGGGAGCTGAGGGCTGGGCATGACCACAGACCATGATGGTTTTTCTGGGTGCATCATTCAACCACTATTTCCGAGAGCCTGCCCTGGTCCAGGCACTATGTGCTGGCAATCCAAAGAGGGGCTGTGGGCTGGGGTCTGAGTGTCAGACAGCAGCTGAGTAGAAGGTTTTAATCAGCGTTTTCCAGCACGTGAACTGTAAGACTTGCAGGCAGAGAGCTTCCTGTCTCCTGAAGGATTGAAACAAGAGCTTGGGGTCAATTGGAAGAGGGTGGGAGGTGGCTCTGCTATCCTGGGAGCCCACAATATCCAGTCTGGACCACTGGGTCCTCTGAGGTCCAGGAAAGATGGCATCGAGCCAAGCTCTGTTTCTCATACTCTATGGAGGACCACTGGATGAGCAGATTGTGACAAGGGCTGGCAGGAGGCCCACTAAGTGCTGGTGGGACTGGGGGAGGTCAACTCTGCCCTCAGGCTGGGGCCTTATCTGAGGAGCAGGTGCTGCTGGTGATGCCTGGAGCCCACCAACATACCTGGTACCCGGGATCAACGTCCTCTCACCTGAGTCACTCTGAGGTGCACGTCCCTGTGCTGAGCCTCAGTATCCTCAGCTGCAGAAGGGGCAGATAGACAAGAAGAACTCTAGGGCCCTCCTCCCCAGCTCTGTGACTCCATGAGTAACACACATGTATGACAGACGCATGACAGGCCTGACACTGCTGCCCCCTCCATATGGCACACAAACCTACCTCTCGGGCATCCCAGGGCTTCCTGGCAATGCCCTTCCGTGTGCAGCCAGGAACAAAGAGGCTCAGGACCTGGGTGGGACAGAGCCCAGGGGACAAGCAGATGCTCGGTGCTCCATGGATTGTGGGGCCAGCAAGGTGTGGCAACCGACAGAGGGGCTCCTGCCACTGTGTCTGTTCCCTGATAGTCCAGTTCCTCCCTGGTCAGCAGCCCTGGATCGGGGGCATCTGAAGTAGGATGGACACCCAGTACCCGGTCACATTTACTGTCCAATTTGCCAGGGCAAGCTGTTTGCCTGGGAGTCCATCCCTGCTTTGGGAGCCTCCCCAGAGCTGGACACACAGCCCCAACCCAGGACCCCAACCCCACTGAGGGTGGCAGCCACACAGAGGACCAGGCAGGTTCACAGCAGCACATGCTGGAAGTGAGGAAAGCCCCTTGTGCAGTCATCAAAGCTAAGCAGGGAGGTCGTGCTGGCGTGAAGATGATTTTACAATAAGATCTCTAGGACGATCGCCCACCAGCTGCCCCACCAGGCCGTAAAAACCCACTCCCACTGCAATGCTAAGCAAAAGTATTTCCCCACAATAGAACAGACACCACCCTCTGCCCTGCTGGCAGTCACCAGGAGAGAGGCACTGTCCTGAGCAGGGAGAATTCAGCATGAATAGCCTGGCTTCATCATTACATAGAAAGAGGGGATTCAGGAAGGCCGTGTCCAGACTTGGGGGCCTACCACGGTGATGCCCAGTGTCAGTGCAGTGGATGCAGACAGTGTTCCAAGTGTCCAGTTCCTTCCCTCAGGCACATGGAGACTGAGTCCCTCCGCACCAGCCTCTGCAGACTATGCTGCTGGCTGCTAACCCTGGCCACGGGGCCATGGAAAGGAGAGGCACGTGTGGCTTCTGGGAGAAAGCACTGAGGAGCTGCAGCTCTCCCTCCAGCTGTCTCCTCCCACAGTGATGGGAAGAGGCTCTCCAAAGGCAGGAGCGGAGGAGCCACAGCCTGCAGTGGCCAGGCCCCCACCACGAGGAGCTTCCATGTGGGGACAGAGCCTGGGACCCTCAGCTGGACCAGCAGTAGACTGTGTGCCTGCAAATATTACACTGCATGCTAAGCTACCAAGATCTGGGGAGTGTACATTACTCCACTTGGTTATTACACATGCACCTGGCCTAGCCTGGGCTAGCTCCCAGGTTGGTGATGAGCAAAAAGAAAATAAAGGTATAAGAACAATGTTGCATTAAAGAGAGAATATCAATAGATAGAAAATTTTTTTAATAAAAGAGCCAAATGGAAATTCTGAAAAGTATAAAAACTGACATTAAAAAAGTCAGTAGAGGGCCTCAACAGTAGATTTAAACTTGGAGAAGAAAAAAATCACAAATTTGAAGAAGATAGGTCTATTGAGATTATGCAAAATGAAGATCAAAGGAAAAAAGAATGAAGTAAAACAGATCCTCAGAGAAATGTATAAGACCATTAGGTGCACCAACATATGCATAATTAGAGTAATAGAAACTGGGGATAGGGCAGAGATAGGGGAAGGAGAGACAGAGAAAGAAAGGAACAGAAAAAAGATTCGAAGAAATAATAACAAAAAAATCCCAAATATATCGACAAACATCAATCTATACATCCAAAAGCTCAATAAACTGCAAGTAAAAGAAACACAAAGAGATCCACAAATGAACACATCATAGTAAAAATGCTGAAAGTCAAAGAAAATAAGACAATCTTGAAAAAGCAACAAGAGAAAAGCCACTTATCACTTACAGAGGAAACACAATAAGACTAACAGCTGACTTCTCATCAGAAACAATGGAGGACTGAAGGTGATGGGATGATATATTTAAAATTCTCAAGGAAATAAACTGTCACCCAGAAATTATATATGCAGCAAAGCTATCTTCCAAAAATTAAAATGAAATAAGGACATTCCCAAATGAGTAAAACTGGAGGAATTTATTGGTAGCATACCCAAGAAATACTAAAGAAAGTTCTTCAGGCTAAAAGCAAGTGACCCCAGTTGGTAATTCAAATTCACATTTTAAAAAAAAGCACCACTAAATACAAGTATGCAACTATAAAAGACAGTAAAATGCATGCTACTTCTCCTTTCTTATCTTAAATGATTTAAAAGGTAATTGTATATTCTTCCTGATAACTTTCTTTAAAAAACAAAAGAGCTATTGTACAAAATGGTATGCATATAATGTATTTTGGGGTGCATAACATATGGAAATGTAATATACTTGTCAATAACAGGACAAAAGAGGTGGGTGGGAACAAAGCTGTATGGGGCTAAAGAAATTACTCCAGAGAGTAACTTGAATCCATAGAAACAAATGAAGAGTACCAGAAATAGTAAATAGAAGTTAATATAACAAAAGCTATAAATACATACTTGCTCTCCTTCCCTCTCAGTTTTATTAAGAAACATAAAATTGTATAAGATAATAACAACAATGCATATCATTGGGTTAGTAACATTTATAGATGTAATCTGCATGAAAATAATACCACAAAAAAGGAAAAATATAATATATATGAGTAGTGTTCTGGCCAAGCACGGTGGCTCTCATCTATAATCCCAGCACTTTGGGAGGCTGAGGCAGGTAATAGCTTGAGCCCAGGAGTTCACGACCAGCCTGGGCAACATGGCAAAAAATCATCTCCACAAAAAATACAAAAATTAGCTGGGCATGATGGCACACACCTGTAGTCCCAGCTACTTGGAAGGCTGATGTGGGAGGATTGCTTGAGCTCAGAAGGTCAAGGCTGCAGTGAGCCATAATTAACCCACTGCACTCCAGCCTGCGTGAAAGAGTGAGATCCTGTCTTAAAAAGAAAAAGAGAGAGAGAGAGAGAAATGTTTCTACATCTAATTGGAATTAAGCTACTGTAAATTTAAAGGTGATTCTGATAAGATGTATATGGTAAGACTTATGGCAACCACTAAGAAAACAACATTTAAAACTATAGAAAAAAAGATTAAAAATGTAAATGTTACATTAGAAAAAAGTCACATATACATAAAGTCACATATGTATGAAAATAGTCACATATATATGAAAAAGAAAGCAGTACAGAGAAAATGAAGAACAAAAAATACATAAAATATACAAAACAAAAATTAAAATGGTAGACATAAATCCAACCATATTAATTACAACAGTAAATTTGAATGAATTAAACAACTCATTCAAAAGGCAGAGATGGTCAGATGATTACAAAAAGAAAAAAAGAGATCTAGCAATGACATGCTGTCCACACAGGGCAGACTTTAGGTCAAGGATATAGGTTGAAAGGAAAAGGATGGAAAAAGACATATTATGCAAACAGCACCACAAGAAAGTTCGAGTGGCTACACTAATATCAGACAAAATAGACTTTAAAACAATAGTGTTTCTAGGGAGAAATAGTAACAATAAAAGGCTCAATCCATTAAGAAGGTACAACAATTATACACGTATATGCACCTAACACTATACCACTAAAATACACAAAGCAAAAACTAACAGGAATGAAGGGCAAATTAGACAATTCAACAATAATAGTTGGATATTTTAGTATCCTCATTTCCAACAATAGATATAACAGCTAGGTAGAAGATAAACAAGGAAATAGGTTTAAATGGCACAATAAACCAACTAGATCTAGCAGACTTCAATATAACACCACACCCAACAACAGTAAACCATACATTCTTCTTGAGTGCACATGGAACATTTTTTAGGAGAGAGTATATGCTAGGCCATAAACAAATGTCAAAGAATTTTAAAGCATGGAAATGATAGTATATTCTGTGATCCTATGGAATTGAAGTCAAGAATGGAGAGAAAACTTGTGAAACTTGCAAATATGTATTAATTAAATAAAACGCTTTTAAACAACTAAAGTGTAAAAGAAGAAATCAAAAGGTAAATTATAAAAATACTTTGAGATAAATGAAAATGAAGACACAACATATCAAAACTAATGGGGTTCAAACAGTTAAAACAGTACTTAGAAATTTATGACTGTGACTGTATTTAAAAAGTAGTAATATCTCGAATTTTTCTAACATCTTAAGACACTGGAAAAAGTACATATAAAACCTATGGAAGCAATGGGAAGGAAATAATACAGACTAGATTGGGATTTAGTGGAATATAAAATTTAAAAATAATAGAAAAAAATCAGTGAAACCAAAACCAGTTTCCTTGCAAAGATCAACAAAAATTACAAACCCTTAGCTAGACTGACCAAAAAAAAAAATATAGAGAGAGAGAAAGAGAAGAGACTCAAACTACTATAATCAGAAATATAAAGGAGACATATTACTACTGATCCTTACAGAAATAAAAAGGATTTATAAAGGATGGCAAGTGTTGGCAAGGATGTGGAGAGACTGGAATCTTTACGATTGCTGGTGGAAATGGACAATGGTGCTGCCACTTTAGCATATAGCACAACACTTCCTCAAACACTTAAACAGAGAATTACCATATGACACAGCAATGTCACTCCTAGGTAAATACCCCAGAGAAATGAGAACATGTCCATGCAGGAACTCATGTATTAATGTTCATAGCAGCATTATTTACAACAGTCAAAAGGTGGAAGGAGCAATGCATCTCAGCTAATAAATGAATAAACAAAATGTGATATACCCATACAATGGAGTGCTGTTTGGCCACGGAAAGGAAAGAAGTACTAACACGACACGGGTGAACCTTGAAAACATCATGCTAAGCAAAAAACAATCCACTCCCAAAGGAATATCCATAAGTAGATTAGCAGTTGCTTAGTGAGGGGAGGGGAAAATAGTGAGGTCGATACTAAAGGGCATAGGATTTCTTACAATTTTCTAGAAATGGGTGATGGTTGCTGCTATGCTTTGAATGTTTGTCTGCTCCACAATTCATGTTGAAAATTAACTGCCAATGTAATGGTTTGGGTGGTGGGGCCTTTAAGAGGTGATTAGGTCACAAGCATGTCCCCTCATGGGTGAGTGTGACGCCTTAATAAAAGGTATTTCAGAAGTGAGTTCTCTCCCGGCTCTTTCACTCTTCTGCCATGTGAGAACAGTGTTTCTCTCCTCTGGAAGACACAGTGTTCAAGGCACCAACCTGGAAGCACAGACTGGGGCCCTCACCAGATATCAAGGCTGACAGCACCTTGAAACTGAACTTTCCAGCCTCCAGAACTGTCAGCTGGTAAAGTTCTGTCCATTATAAATTATCCAGCCTGTGGTACTTTGTTACAGCAGCACAAAAAGACGAAGACAGTTGCATTTATCTCTGAATGTGTTAAGAACCATTGAGTTGGACACTTAAATAAAACATACAAAAAGAGCCCTCATGCCTGTAATCCCAGCACTTTGGGAGGCTGAGGCGGGCAGATCACCTGAGATCAGGAGTTCGAGACTAGCCTGACCAATGTGGTGAAACCCCATCTCTACTAAAAATACAAAATGAGCTGGGTGTGGTGACACATGCCTGTAATCCCAGCTACTCAAGAGGCTGAGGCAGAAGAATCGCTTGAACCCAGAAGGTGGAGGTTGCAGTGAGCCAAGATCACACCACTGCACTCCAGCCTGGGTGACAAGAGTGAAACTCTGACTCAAAAAAAAAAAAGAGTTAGCCTAATGAGCACAGCAACACATCAATGGGAAAATAACTTATGCCTGAAAAAAATTTAAAAAGCTTATCGAGATTCCTACAATGAAACAGAGGAGAATGGAAAGTAACCGTAGAAACATGAGATTAGCCTGGGTAGCAAACAATAATACCCATCAGGTGCTGAGCATTGGCTGTAATTTGGTCTGGAATTCTGATAACCCTAGCAAAGATCAAAACATGCCCAGCTCCATCTCACCCAAAGGCTGGATGATCCTGGCTTCACAGGACACCCATTTAAAAGACAGCCCATTCACCCACCCACTGGATGGCTGGAATCTCAGTAATGTCTGACCTGGCCTCACACTGGACGTGTCTGCCTGGCCCTGAACGCCTGCTGGAAGGATCCCAACCCTGACTCCTGCCTTGTCTCACCTTCCTTAGGGTCAGAATCCTGCGCCTCAAACACTGAAAGTATAGCTTTCTCCGGTGGACTCTGGCAGGACAAATCAGAGCCCCTACCCCTCGCACCATTAGCAGCCTCTGGCAGAAATCCCCCGGTCCCACTCCATCCCCACAGTGACCCATAAGGGCTCCTTCCCCAAGCAGGAGTGGGAAATGGCAGGATTTGGGCACCCACCCTTCTCAGTAAGGGCTTGATCAGATGCACCTCACACACTTGCTTAGATAACTTGCAGAATTTCTGCAGCTTGTCTTGAGTTTATTTTGGCTCAAATCATTATATTAACTTGCAAATAATAGCAATGGAGAACACAGGCTTGGGCTGGGGCCAGCTCCCCACTGATGTCCCCACAGTGGACACAGGAAAAACAAGCCTTCATCTCTCCCAGGTCAAAAACATTAAAGCATGAGCAGATGGAATCCTAATAGGAGTTGTCAATCTGAGCCTTTGGGGATTTGCTGATGGTGACATCCCAAGGTCAGGGGCAGGAACCAGGGTCCAGGAGAAGCTGTCCGTCCTGTGTTCCAAGCCAGCACGGGCTCTGCTGAAGCAGATGGGAGGGCAAGACGGCTGCAGTCACAGCTGCCCTGGGCCTGGCTGCCCTCTCCAATGTGCTAGCCAACAGGGAGCGGGCGGCGCAGACAGCCTGGAGAGAGTGGGGCCGCAGCTTCCCATTCGGAATACGAAAGGAAAGGCCTGATGCAGCTGCCTTCAGATGGATAGAGGCCAAAAAGATGGTCTTAGGACATAAAGCAAGACAAGTCACTTCCAATCGGGGTCATTCAACAGCCATGTCTACAAGAATTAATTTGTGAATTAAACAAACGTTACTGTTAGAAAAATGAACTGGAAGAGAATGTTACATTTGCATAAGAAGAATGGAAGAAAGGGGCACTTCTGTGGAAGATGGAGGATTTGACACTGAGAACTAGCATGCGCCTTGTGATTTCAGTGAATCATGGTAAAAAGGAGATGTTGGAATTCACTGAGAATGATGACAAGGCTGCGGAAAAAGATGATAAGCTGACACCCGGGCAGCTGAAATACAGTCAGTGGGCGAGCAGGATCACAGCTCTGATTTGGAGGAACAAGCGGATGTTGCATTACTTCTAAAACCACCTAGTGTTTAACAGCCATGCCGAACCCCACTGCATTTAAATAAAGCAGAGGGATGAAGCCATAGCAGAACTTTGGGGTATCCCTGCTCCTCTCTTGCTCCTGGTGCTCACAAGCAAACAGGTGGCTTGGCAAATGTGTTTGTTTAGGACACCTGGCCTCCTCTGTAGCCCACTGCGACGCCTACGGTCTCTGTTGACTCAAGGTGTCTCTCTAGGTCAGAGCTTTTAGACTCCAGAGTTGATCTGGAACACCTCAGAGTGGAGAAGTTTTGCTGAGTTCTCATTTAACATTTTAAAAAAGCAGTAACACATGTTTGATTGTTGCTTATAAGATAAATACACAATTTTTTTTTTTTTTTGAGACGGAGTCTAGTTCTGTCACCCAGGCTGGAGTGCAGCGGTGCGATCTCGGCTCACTGCAAGCTCCACCTCCCGCGTTCATGCCATTCTCCTGCCTCAGCCTCCTGAGTAGCTGGGACCACAGGCACCTGCCACCACGCCTGGCTAATTTTTTGTATTTTTAGTAGAGTTCCTGGCCAGGCATGGTGGCTCATGCCTGTAATCCCAGCACTTTGAGAGGCCAAGGCAGGTGGATCACCTGAGGTCAGGAGTTTGAGATCGGCCTGGCCAACGTGGTGAAATCCCATCTCTACTAAAAATACAAAAATTAACCAGGCGTGGTGGTGGGTGCCTGTAATCCCAGCTACTGGGGAGACTGAGGCAGGAGAATTGCTTGAACCCGGGAGGCGGAGGTTGCCGTGAGTCGAGATCCCGCCATTGCACTCCAGCCTGAATGAGTGAAACTGTCTCAAAAGAAAAAAAAAAAAAAGATATTCCTGATCCATCACAATGTGTGGCCCCACAGTCAGCCCTCACATGAAGAAACTGATCAAAACAGGGTCCTTGGCTTAGGGTCCAGGACCCCCTTGCAATGATACACAAATATTAGTGTTGGAATACAGCATTTCTTAGTACCATCTCCGCAGGAAGCATAACTTCAGTTATTATTCAACATTCTCAATGGCCTCTGTGTACCTGAAAAACAAAGTTTGGCCAGGACAAAACTACATGCACCATATCTTGTACTAAGTTCTTCACTGTCCAGGTTGAATATTACAGGTTAAGACACAGACATTTCAGAGTAAAGCTGACCCACAGAAGTACAGTCCTGTGCTGCAGGATGACATTTTAGGCAACGAGAACCACATATACGGTGGCAGTTCCATATAAGATTGTCATATTACATTTTTACTACACCTTTTCTATGTTGAGATATGTTTAGATACACAAATACTTAGCATTGTGTCACAGTTGCCTGCAGTATTCAGCACAGTCACATGCTGTACAGGTCTGCAGCTTAGGAGCAATAGGCTCCATCCAGCATGCAGCCTTGGTGTGTAATAGGCTATACCACCTAGGGGAGCTGCAGGCACACTCTATGATGTTTGTATAATTATGAAATTGCCTAACAATGCATTTTGCAGAACATATTCTTGTCATTAAGTGATGCATGACTATAGTTTTCTCATTCACAGTCCTTCCTGTGTGCTCCAGCACTAAGCATCAATGCCTTCCGAACAAGGCTGGACCGGTTCAGACACCAGCAGGACCTAGTGGCCCAGGATGGATGTCAGATGGTCAGGTGAGTGAAAGGATAAGCAGGGAGAATTTCTAGATGGTCTCTAGAAATTCTGCTAAAATTGCTGTGGCTCAGATACGTGACAGCATGGCTGTAGTCCCGTCATCGATTTTTCTCTCTGTAAATTCTTCGAATGTCTGGATTCCTTCACAGGATGATGCTTCCCCAGTGCCCAGGGTGCATGGCCTGAGTCATCCCTGCTAAGTTCTGCTAACGACCACCTTTCTCTAACAGTACCTGAAATCAACATTTTATAGAGTGCTGGGTTTGTGAGTAAGTTGGTAGCTAGAAGGAAGAAAACAATTCTTATGTTTTTGTTTTTAAAACATACCCAAGTCGCCTGAAGCTTTAATGCTGTAAGATGACGTATGGGTGAGGACTTTTGGTTGCACATAACCGAATGATCTGGAATCATTTAACAGAAAAGTGAATTTACAGGGATTCTGGGACAGCCTTACGTACCAGGGCTGGGACGCAGACCAGGAACGGATGGAAGCAGGGAAGGGAGAATGCTGCTCTCGGTTTCAGGCCACGTCCTCGCTCTGTATCGCCTTCATCCGCTTCACCCACAGCCCACCTATGCCACACAGTGGACATGTCCTTAGTTCCACCACCCAAGCAAAACATGACTTCTCTTTCTCAGCTTTGTTTCCAATGCCATGGTGGAGACCATGGTTCTGGCAGAAACCAGCTGGCACAGTTGAGTCAGGTTTATCCCAGGAGGAATTGGTAAAGAGACTATCTACAAATGTGTAGGCAGGGGGGCAAGGAAACCACAGGGGACAGCATCATTTCTGGAGGCCAGCAACGGTGAGGCTGTTAGCCCCCCTCACCTAAAGGAACGAGGGCAGAGAGCCTGGCCCTGAACGCCTACGTGGAGAGGCTGCCTTGGGGAGCCGGGACCCTCACTGGGGGTTGTAGCCAGCAACAGGAAACTAGTTGGGATGAAGCCAGGAGTAAGTACCCTGCCCTGGCAGTACTCTCTGCCCCTCTGATCCCCTGCTGAGATTCCCCACCAGGCAAACCCAAAAGGAAGCCAGGGCAGGGGGTGGGCTGATGCGGCTCAATCAGGCCAGCTGCAGCACAGGGTACACGGCAGAGAACACAGTAGAGAACTGGATCATGATCGCACAGAGGACCGGAAGTATGTGCACAGAAGGGCTCTGATTGGCCCAGCGTGGACCATGTGCCCACCTCTGAGCCAATCAGAGAGCCTGGGGGAGGAGTCTGTGCCAATACGGCAGCCCTGCCATGAATGTGGCTGTTGGGATGTGTCTTAGTCCATCTGTGTTGCTGTAACAAAATACTACAGACTAGATAGATTATAGAAAAAGAATAGAACATTATTTTTCAAAGCTCTGGAGGTAGGAAGTCCAAGATCAGGGTAGGTCTGGTGTCTGGTGAGGGCTGATCTCCGCAGCCCTATGGCTGCATCCTCCAGAGCGGAGAACTGCTGTGTCTCCACGTGGCAGAAGAGATGGAAGGGGTGGAAGTGCCCTGCTCAAGCCCTTCCATAAGGCACTAATCCATTCATGAGGACCTGATCACCTCCTAAAGGCCCCACTTCTTAACACTGCTGCATTGGGGGTTAAGTTTCAACACGAATTTTGAGGGGACACACATCATTCAAACCACGCAGTGGGAGTGGGAAGCACGGCAGGGAAGGTGCCTAGATAAAGTCAGGTGGTCCTGAGCTCCACCATCCCAGCCTCACTCCTTCTCCCTGCCTCCCGTCCTCAGTTCTATCCTAGCCTCATTCCCTCTCCCTGCCTCCCATCCTCAACTCCATCATCCCAATCTCATTCCTCCCTGCCTCCCGTCCTCAGCTCCATCCCAGCCTCATTCCTTCTCCCTGCCTCCCGTCCTCAGTTCTATCCTAGCCTCATTCCCTCTCCCTGCCTCCCATCCTCAACTCCATCATCCCAATCTCATTCCTCCCTGCCTTCCGTCCTCAGCTCCATCCCAGCCTCATTCCTTCTCCCTGCTTCCCATCCTAAGCTCCATCATCCCAGCCTCACTCCTCCTGCCTCCTGTCCTCAGCTCCATCCCAGCCTCACTCCTTCTCCCTGCCTGTCCTCAGCTCCATCCCAGCCTCACTCCTTCTCCCTGCCTCCCATCCTCAGCTCCATCATCCCAATCTCATTCCTCCCTGCCTCCCGTCCTCAGCTCCATCCCAGCCTCATTCCTTCTCTCTGCCTCCTGTCCTCAGCTGCATCATTCCAGCCTCATTCCTTCTCCCTGCCTCCCGTCCTCAGCTCCATCATCCCAGCCTCATTCCTTCTCCCTGCCTCCCGTCCTCTGCTTCCACCTCCTCCCCAGGATGAGAGCCTTGCAAGTTTCCTGCCACCTCCTCTGGATCTCCCTCTCATCAGTCCCCAACACCGGATCTGTCAGTAAGATCTGTCTCTTCTGCCTCCTCCACAGCTCTCCAGCCTGGGTCCTCTTGTTGTCCCAGTGGGCCATTTCAGGACTTGGCTCCTCTTGTTCTCTGCCTTGTTGCTCTGTCAACAGTCCCCACGCCAGCTTCTACTGCCAATGCCCCCTCCTGCATTCCTCCGTCTCTGTGGCTGTCCCTTCTGACCTTCTCTATGGATCCCCTTTTCTCCCTCACCAACATTCTCTCCTTGACCCTCGCCTCTTCTCTCACCATGGCTGTCTTTTGATAATGTCATATCTTTTTATGGCTGAAATATATGAGCCACCAACTCCCAAATCAGGAGCCCTCTTCCATGATGAATATGGCTACAGGCACGATCCTGAGGTACCTCAAATTTAGCAGGTCCCAAGTGGAACACGAAGTCTCTTCCCACAACCCTGACCCCTTCTTCAGGAAGCAGCTCAGGTAAAGACACCCCATCCACCCAGTCGCCCAAACCAGAAACCCAGAACCCAGTTTCCCAGTCTCTCCTTCACCCCCACATCTATCTTAGCCGGGCACTGGCTTTCAGTGCCCTGTAGAGAAGAATCTTGCCTTCACCCTCTCTTCCTTATCCCCACCATCCATCACTGACCCAGTCCACGTCACATCCTCCCTCTCCAGGATGCCTGCCAGGCCTCTGCCCCAACTCACTTACCTATTCCCAGGCACTTAGGAGTCTTCTCCACACACAGACCATTCTGAGAACAGGGAGCCCAGTGGAGAACTGAGTAGGCTGACCCATCTGTGCTCCTGGTCTGCTGGGACCTAGAGACGAAGAGGACAGTGACCACAGAGCATATGAGTGAGGAGGGGAGCCCGAGCTCTGTGCAGGTGTAGGTGGGGCTTTACTCCACACTCATAGGTTCTGAAGCCAGGGCAGCAACTTCAAAAGTGATAGGTTAGGGGAGAAACTATAAAATGAAAACACACAGTCCCTTGTTCACAAAACAGGGAAAACTGCTCTTAACAGTGTTAAAAAACAAAACTTTTCCTTTTCCTCTGTTCTCTCTAATAATTTACCATTGTTATTTGCTACTTAAGGTCATCCTAAGTAAAGAAAATTTCAATTTTTATGTTTTAGCTGAATGTTACTGTTCATTTTATATTGTGCAATGTCAGTTTTAAATACAAATATAAAAGCATTAGATCCCCATGCAGAAACACAGAGATTACACGATTCCTATTTTGTAGCTCACATATGTATGTATATTTAATTTTTACCTTAACAGTGGAAGTGCTGTGCAAAACTAAACCAAGGGTTTTGATTTCACTTCTCGATACTGGCCGTGCTACTGCCTTCTTGACACTGCCTGCAGCTTACTGGTGAAAATGGAAGAACTGAAAGAAGGAACTGTGGCTTTTCCCGTCTTCTTTCCGTCCATGCATTGTTTTCAGTGTAAGTGCTTGGCTAATACACGAAAGTAGAATAAGTAAGAAAAAGTACAATAGGGTCTTTGGTTGTTGGTGTTATTCACAAGGCCACTGCCTTCTTTCTACATTTGAAGTGGACTCATGTGGAAGGTGTGGCTTTCCCACAGACTCAGTGGCAAACACACACAGTGACCTGTTCCTGGCCTCGAGTCCTGCTGGTCTCCCGTGCATCCTAGGGTCACTGGAATTCTGTGCTCACTGTGTCACCAATGCCGCGTGTGAATGGAGAGGCAAGGAATGGCAGACGTGCATATCATGCAAATCTCCTGTGCTCCTGCCCCTGCTGTGCAGTGCTTCCAAAACACAAGTTCAAAGGCAAAGGTATCAAGATTCAGGGCAGACCTGGCCGAGCATTAAGCCCAGCACAGAGCCCTTCTTAAGTGCAAGGCCCCATGAGATTGCACGCCTGTGAAGCTGGCAGTACCCTCGTCTTAACTGCAATTGACAGGAAATTCAAGGGTAGAGGAGCATGTTAAACACCACCACAAGGACACAGCAAATCCAGGGTTGGGGGCACTGCAGCCAATGACCCAGACACTGCAACCAGCCAGTGGGGCCACGGAAGGGAGGAAAGAGGCTGAAACAGGTTCCATCATCGGAAATGCCAACTTGTTTGGCTCCTAATTCAAACAAACCAACTGTAAAAACACATTTCTGGATAATTAGGGAAACTTGGATATGAACTTGTATTTGATGCTATAGAGGTAAAGGAAGTCTTCTTAGTTTAGAGTGAAGGATAGTCATATGTGTCGTGGTTACGTGGGGAAAATGCCCGATCCGTGAAAGATGCAGACCAAGTCATCTGCAAGTCAAACAACAAGATGTTTGGGATTTGATGTATTTTAGAAAAAAACAGCAGGGGAATAGTTGGCACAAGATTGGCAAAATATTGAAAATGTTTGAATCTCAGAGGTTCATCATTTTATTCTACTTTTTAAAAAGTTTTTTAAATGTTCTATAACAGAAAGAAGGAAAATAACATATGTATGTGTGTATGTGTGTGTACTTATTATGTATTCCTTAAACAAATCTTTTCTTTTAGTTTATAAGGAATTATATTTTCAACACTGAATTAATTACCTTATTTTGCAATAAATTAGTAAGGAGTTAATGAAGACTGAACTATGATCCACACATGAGAGCTTTGGCATGGAAATCACTTTTTATCTCAACTTCGTATCCCTTCTTTTCATTTCTTCGAGCAATATGGAAAATTTCCCAGCATGTAGGACACACTATAATGTTCTTTCTTGAAGATGTAACTCTATACATTGCAGTAGCTAATTATTCAAGTTTTTATTTAGTAAAAATTCAAGAAAAATCCTATTTTTATTAGAAATTCTATCACTAAAATTATTTGTGATAAATTGATTCTTCCCATGACTCTTTAGGGAAAAAATACATTTTTAGATCATACTTTTTCTTGAAGTGAAAAAAAAAATTAACATGCACGTACCACACACATGTAAATTAGAGACAAGTTTAGACACAGGAGTAGATTGGATTTGCCTAAATATGGCCTCAGATTAATAAAACCAAATGGGGAAAAGCTGACTATTTTTGTTGTTGTTATTGACAAGTGTCTGTTATATTTTGAAAAGCATCCATACTTGATGAAGTGCTGGAGGGCCGAAGAGAGTCCCAGGCTTCCGGATTCCAGGCCGGCAGCTTCCCTCTGAATTCAGTTCCTCTCCTGGGCCCTCCTCCTCCTCCTCTTCTTCTTACCTAACTGCCTGTCCCCAGGCCTAAAGCCACCAAACCCTGCTGTTGGGAGGCCCTGAAGACTGATGGCCGCCCTGGAGGTCACTCAGCCCCCAGAGACTGCAGCACCCAGGCCAGTAGTGGGAGTGAGCCAGGTTCACCCCTCCCTCTGCCATCCCAGCCTCAGCTCCAGAAGCACGCGCATCCCCTGGGGCACACAGCCCCTTCCTGCATCCCTTCAGTTCCTTCCCTTCTGGGATCCCTCTTCCTTTCATCAGCAGGACACTGGGAGAAGGAACCATCCCTACCAAGAAAACTGGAATGGCTTTGGTGTCTGGCTAAGCTGGAATATAGAGCCAGGCTGCCTGCTCTGTGAGAAAACGGAACTGCAGGAACCAACCGGGGCCCAGCTCACAGATGGAGCAAGGACTGTTCAGAACCACCCAGGGCCCAGCTCACAAATGGAGTCAGGACTGTTCAGGGTTACGCAGTCATGGGCATTTCTCCTCCACTTCCCAATACTCTGCAATAAAATAATGATGTTTATACCAAGGAGGTTATAAAATGAGAGAACGTGTTCCTCTGAAGTCTACAGTGGCATTTCCTACAGTACCTAGAAAGCCAAGTCCCTTACAGCACTCAGGAGGTGCTCAGCCTGCGCCCGGGGCTGTTTGGAGGAGGCGCTGCCCCTGCCTGCCAGCCTCCAGAGTCAGGAAGGTGGCCCCGAGGGAGCTGCCTACACACACTCTGCTCTTTTTGTCAGCCCCCGGCCCACAAGTGAATTCCCAGGACTGGGAGCTGATGCCGTATTTACGAGCTTTGCTCCTGGTGAGGTTGAACCCTGGGGCTTCCAACCCCAAAAGAGATCAGACCCGAAGAGGGCACCAGCAGGGGCAGGCAAGGAACGCCTCTCCAGGAACGCCTCTCCTTCCTCTCCTTCCCTCTCTTGCACTGGTGAGCATGTGGACATGTCCTGTGATTGCAGGTTCCTGCTACTTAGTGCCACTGCATCACAGGCAAGATGAGAAGAGCAAGATGCAGGTGTCAACTCTGCATCATCTTGGAAACCACATTCACGAGTGCACAACGAAGTCCTACACAGATGGGGCAAGGACCACAGAAGAATAACTGTCATCATACGAAAGCACAGCAAGCATTTTTCTGAGCTTACAGCATGCCAGGCCTGTCTCCTTCTCTCCACATGTAAAGGGGTGTGAAGGAGGGGAGTGATGGAAGGTTGTGATGGAGGGGTGTGACGGAGGGGTGTGGAGGGGTGTGGCAGGGTGTGATGAAGAGGTATGATGGAGAGGTGTGATGGAGAGGTGTGATGGAGGGGAGTCATGGAGGGGTGTAAAGGAGGGGTGTGATGGAGGAGTGTGATGGAGGGGTGTGATGGAGGAGTGTGGAGGGGTGTGGTGGAGGGGTGTGACGGAGGGGTGTGATGGAGAGGTGTGATGGAGGGGTGTGATGGAGGGGAGTCATGGAGGGGTGTAAAGGAGGGGTGTGATGGAGGAGTGTGATGGAGGGGTGTGGAGGGGTGTGGTGGAGGGGTGTGACGGAGGGGTGTGATGGAGAGGTGTGGTGGAGGGGTGTGACGGAGGGGTGTGATGGAGAGGTGTGATGGAGGGGTGTGATGGAGGGGAGTCATGGAGGGGTGTAAAGGAGGGGTGTGATGGAGGAGTGTGATGGAGGGGTGTGGAGGGGTGTGGTGGAGAGGTATGATGCAGAGGTGTGATGGAGGGGTGTGATGGAGGAATGTGGAGGGTTGTGATGGAGGGGTGTGACGGAGGGGTGTGATGGAGAGGTGTGATGGAGGGGTGTGATGGTCCCTTCCACAATTGCCAGGATGAAACAGAAAACTGCGCCACTAGAGCTTCCAGGCCAGGTACCTGGAAAATGGTTGATAGTTATTTTTATTCTAGGCAAAACAAGTCTCCAACTCAACAAAGTCAGTTAGTAAGGCAGGTGGACATCAGAGCCAAAGCAATGAGCCACTGGGCCACCCTGCACATCCCTGAGGGTAGAGAAGCTCCTGGGCCTCAATGCAACACTTAAGGGAGTGAGAGGCTGAATGGACAATGTCCAGCCCAGATGTAAAAACAGAATTCCACGACCTGCAGCATCCAGCACACAAAACCCATCATCATCCACAGTCACCAGCCCAGAAAGCCCACCCATCATCCACAGTCACCAGCCGGGAAGCCCACCAATCATCCACAGTCAGTAGGCCAGGAAGCCCACCCATCTTAAAAAGTCACTAGCCTGGGAAGTTATCTTCCCATTATCTGGGTGGGCACCATCTAATCAGCTCCCAGAGAGGCTAGAATAAAGCAAGCAGAAGAAAGTGGAATGAGCAGACTTGCTGAGTCTTCCAGCCTTCATCTTTCTCCCGTGGTGGATGCTTCCTGCCCCTGAACATCAGACTCCAAGTTCTTCAGCTTTTGGACTCTTGGACTTACATCAGTGGTTTGCCAGGGGGTCTCGGGCCTTCAGCCACAGACTGAAGGCTGTACTGTTGGCTTCCCTACTTTTGAGGTTTTGGGACTTGGACTTGCTTCTCAGCTTGCAGACAGACTATTGTGGGACTTCACCTTGTGATCGTGTGAGTCAATACTCCTTAATGAACTCCCCTTCATATATATATATATATATATATATATATATATATATATATATATTTATCCTATTAGTTCTGTCCCTCTGGAGAACCTTGACTAATACAGGCCTCTAGCCAGGGCACACCTGAGCCTCCCCGTTTTCCTACCATGAAGCTTCCCCACTCCTCTGCTTATCTTTGTCTCTGCCAAATGCAGGTGATAATGGCTGCCTCCCCTGCTATAGCAAGCTCTGAGTAGGTAACCTGTGCTTTTTTCATTGGGTGGTCTTTTCTTCCATAGGAAAAAAAAAACCCATGTGTGTGGGCTAGGGGTGGGGAAGTCACCCACATAGCCCAGCAAAGCTGAGTGACACTGATGGGTGGGTGTAGAACCTTGTCAGATCCCCTGGCATTGCCGATATGGAGAAGTGGTCTGGCTAGAAGATCAAACCAGCCACCACATTCCCTGAAGCCAAAGCCTAATCCAGAGCAAGGCCCTCACTCTCTTCAATTCTGTGACGGTAAAGCTAGAGAAGGAAATTGCAGAAGCAAAGCCTGGAGCCAGCAGAGGTTGACTCAGGAGGCTGAAGGAAAGAAGCCATCTTCATCACATAAAGGTGCAAGGTGAAGTAGCAAGTGCTGATGGAGACGCTGCAGCAAGTTATACAGAAGATCTAGCTGAGATCATGGATGTAGGTGGTTACACTAAACAACAGACTTTCAATGTAGAAGAAACAGCTTTCTGTTGGAAAAAGATGCCATCTAGGACTTTCATAGCTAGAGAGAAGTCAATGCAGGGCTTCAAAGGACAAGCTGACTCTCTGGTTAGGGGCATTACGCTGTGCCTTCAAACTGAAGCCAACACTCTTTTCCATTCTGAAAAATCCTAGGACCCTTAAAAATTATGCTACATTGACTCCGCCATGCTCTACAAATGAAACAACAATGGCTGGGTGGCAGTGGCTCGCATCTGTAATCCCAGCACTTTGGGAGGCAGAAGGATCGCTTAAGCCCAGGAGTTTGAGGCTGCAGTGAGCTATGATCACGCCACTGCCTGGGTGACAGAGTGAGACCTTGTCCCCAAAATAATACTAGTAATAAATGGAATAAGAAAGCCTGGATGACAGCACATCTCTTTATAGCATGATTCACGAAGTATTTTAAGCCCACTGTTGTGACCTACTGCTCAGAAAAAAAAGATTCCCCTGAAAATGCTACCGCTCACCGACAATGCACCTGCCCCCCAAGAGCTCTGATGGAGAGGCATAAGGAGGTTCATGTTGTTTTCACAGCTGCTAATACAACATCCATTCTTCAGCCCATGAACCGAGGGGTGATCTGACTTTCAAGTTTCATTATTGAAGAAACACATTTTGTAAGGCTATAGCTGACATAGATAGTGGTTCCTCTGATGGATCTGGGCAAAGTCAATTGAAAACCTTCTGGAAAGGCTTCGTCATTCTAGATGCCAGTAAGAACATTTTTGATTCATGGGAGGAAGTCAAAATGTCAACATTAACAAGAGTTTAAAAGAAGTTGATTCCAACCCTCATAGGTGACTTAAGGGGTTCAAGACTTCAGTGGAGGAAGCAACTGCAGATGTAGTGGAAATGACAAGGGAGCTAGAATCAGAAGTGGAGCCTGAAGATGGGATGGAACTGCTGCAATCTCAGGAGAAAATTTGAGTGAATGAGGAATTGCTTCTTGTGGATGAGCGGAGAAAGTGGTTTCATGAAATGGAATCTACTCCTGGTGAAGATGTCGTGACCGTTGTTGAAATGACAACAAAGGATTCTGAATATTACATAAACTTCGTTAATAAAGCAGTGGCAGGGAGATTTACTCTCAATTTTAAAATTTAAAATTTTAATTTTAAAAGAAGTTCTACTATGGATAAAATGCTATCAAATAGAATCTCAAGCAACAGAAATCTTTCATGAAAGAAAGTGTCAACAGATGCAGCAAACTTCATTGTTGTCTTATTTTAAGAAGTTGCCACGGCCACCCCAATCTTCAGCAGCCACTACCCTATGCAGTCAGCAGCCACCAACTCCAGACAAAACCCTCCAGCAGTCCAGCAGTGAAATGATTACAACTTGCGGAAGGCTCTGATGATTGTTGGCATTTTTTAGCAATGAAGTATTTTTAAGGTGAGGTATGCACATTGTTTTTGTGAGACATAATACTATTTGCACACTGAATAGACTATAGTACAGTATAAATATAGCTTTTATATGCCCTGGAAAACCAAAACATCTGTGCAACTTACTTTTTTGCAATATTCACTTTGTTGCAGTGGTCTGGAACTGAACCCGCAATACCCCAAAGGTATGTCTGTACACACTTGTACACTCTGTGTCCACAGGACTGGGCTTGTGCTCTAAAATACATTTCTCATCCTGAGTGGGAACGGCCTCGTTCTGTGCATGCCTGGTGTGCGCTGTTTGTGGGACCTTAGGCAAAGGTAATTTGGTGACACCGTTTAGTGGCAGGGTGGTTCCTGAGGCAAACAAAGCACCCAGACCTGCAGTCCAGACCCAAAGCGGCCCTGAGAGCCACTCTTTGGAAACAGCCAGGATTCCTGCGGAAGGGGGCTGGGCTCCTGCTCCCCCGAATGCAGATTTGACTTGATTTTAATTAAAACGAAGAGACAGCAGGAGCCCAGCCAATATTTGGGCTGCAGTTGGCCATTGCACTCAATCTATACAACACCCTTTCAGGTCAGACACGTGCCTGTTTCACAGACGTGGAAAGGCAGGCCCGGAACTCACATGGGCAATGAGTGGCTGTGGTGGAAATCCAGAGCACGTTCTTGTCTGACCCAGCTCACCTCACCTCTGCTTGGTGAGGTCACCCTGAGGCTCTGAGGCTTCCCAGGGTCACAGCTGGACATGACACAGGGCAGCTGGTGAGACGTGCGCTCCTTCCCCACTGAGGAACATTTCTCTAGAAAACCAGACTTCTCATGAGTGCTTTGGACCCTAAAACACCTTTCAGGAATGTGGCCACAGAACGTCAGCACGGGGGGCTTGTATATTACGTTGAGCTCAGGGCGAGGAGGCTCCTTCTGCATTTTACCTGGAGGTGACCAGGAAGGGCCTTGGCCACCTCAGCCCAGCCAACCTGCAGTCGCGTTGGACAGAATGATCCCACAGTCCCTGCCCTCCCTGGGCTGCTCTGCATGTCCCAGGACAGGGCAGCTCCTGATGCTTCTGGAGTGAGGCTCTGGGTGAAAGTCTGTTTTTCTATAAGGCCAGACATAAGGCGTGAGCATGCCTGACAAATAAGGCTGGACGCTGCCCTGTTGAAAAGGGGAAAGGAGATCATCTGGAAGCATTTTATAAGGAAAAGAATGTCAATTATACCTATTATATGTATATTCAGAAAATCTTTGCAGTTTGGAAAATGTGTCCCGGCTCTGCCATTTCTTCCCATTTCCTGCAATTTCCTTCCCCATTGTCAAGATATTCTAAAAGCCAGTTTCTTCCCTTCTCACAGATGGGTCCTTTTTGTTGGCAGCTGCCGGTTTCTAACCGGGCCCTGCTGGAACAGAATCACTTTGGGCTGAGAGTGGGGTAGAGAAGGTCCCACAGCTCTTCCATGCAGGGGAGAACTTTGTGTCATTGAGATCAGGTGGGGCAGGGGCCGCCTGGCCTCAGGGCTGCAGAGAACCAGGGGCAGGCAATGGTAACAGTGGGGCAGCACAGAGTCCAGACGCCCTGGATGATGCAGGCGTCTGCCCATCCCAGGGAGCCCAGGCTGTCCTGAGCGCATGGGGTCACTCCAGGAACACAGAACTACAGGAGGCCAGGCAAAGGGGGCAAAAGGAGGAGGGGTGGGGGCCTATCTCAGAGAAATTCAGGCTTTAGAGAAAGTGGTGGTACACCCCAGAGATGGCCAGAACCTTCCAGTGTGCCCCGGGGGACACTGGCCCTGAAACTTCGCCCCGTACCCAACCCTAAAGGTGCCTCTTCCTTTCTTCTTCTTCTTTTTTCTTTTTAGTTATTTATTATTTATTTATTCGTTATACATATTTTTTAGACGTAGTCTCTCTCTGTCACCCAGGTTGGAGTATAGTGGTGTGATTCTGGCTCACTGCAACCTCTGCCTCCTGGGTTCAAGCGATTATCCTGCCTCAGCCTCCTGAGTAGCTGGGATTACAGGCACACGCCATGTCCAGCTAATATTTGTATTTTTAGTAGAGTTGGGGTTTCGCCATGTTGGCCAGGCTGGTCTCGAACTCCTGACCTCAAGCGATCTGCCTGTGTCAGCCTCCCAAAGTGCTGGGATTACAGCTGTCAGCCACCATGCCCAGCCCCTGCTTTCTTCTTGTTGAGAAGGCGCCCTAGAGACTGCAGGCCCTGCCCTAGGCACGGTGCCCTCAGACCTGAGAGCCAGGGCCCCACCCCAGCCTGGTGCATCAGTGTCCTGGGGCCACCATAACACCTGGCCACACATCAGGCGGGGTGCTTACAACAGCAGACACACTATCTTAGCTCTGAGGCTGAAGTCTGAAGTCAGGGTGTCCACACAGCTGTCTTCTCCTGGAGACTTCTAGGGGAGGGTCCCTCCTGCCTCGTCCAGTGTCTGGTGACTCCAGGCTTCCTTGGCTTGTGGTGGAATGGCTCCGATCCCGCCTCTGCATTCACACCGGCGTCTCACTGTGTCTGTGCCTTCTGCTCTTCCGCCTCTTATATAGACACCTGTCATTGGGAAGCCCTAATCCAGGAGGGTCTCATCTCAAAACCTTTAACTGAGCTACAAAGACC